>NC_000001.11:50159895-50311410 GCF_000001405.40 Homo sapiens
AAAAGCGTTGGTGTCCTGGGAAAGTCTCACCTACTCCCAGGAGGAACAGAAAATGATGCCATATGGATCCAAACTCTAGCATCAGCACAGTCCCATCTCACACTAGGCATTTTTTTGAAAATTATTGAGTACTGAGCACGTTCTGGGTATGATTCAAACCGTGGGTTCATTTGGTGTCCTGACTGTCAGGGTGACATTCCATTTTCCATTGCCTGGAAGAGCTGAGCCATTAGAAGGTCTTCGTATTTTGCAATCTCACTCGTATTCCTGGGCACTCCTTCATTTTCACATCTGCCACGTACTTGACTCCATGTAATGAAGCTGGTCATTCTTGCTTTGTGTAGCCATTCCCCAAGAATCCCGAGCTTTTTAGAAAATCAAAGAAGATGACGTTCCCCCGCAATTTCTACCCTAAAGACCTATTTCTGCATGAGTTGTTCTTGGGTTTTTATGTCTTTATTTTGCCTTATTTCCTACCTGCAAGTTAAATAGCAATGAAAAGGGAAAACATACTTTTGTTTCTTGTTTTTTTTCTTCTTCATGGATCTGGGAATTTCTTTCTTTTTAAACATTTGTTGAAATCAAACTAAGATGTTAGAACATGGTGGTGAGCTTCATGCCTGGCACTTTACTATCAGCGAACTCCTCGATGATAAGGACAGAGGTGTCCATTTCTGCATTTCACACAGATATTAGTGGTAGATCCAAGGCCAGAGAGCACCTTAGTGTTATTTCAGAAAGGACACGCTGACAGAGGTTTTCAAAGTCCTTCAGCTAACATTTGGCATCCTGACTTATCTCTGTATGGACAAGTTATTTATCTCATCTCCTTGAGTGAGAGCCATAAATGTCTTTCACTTTGAATAAGGCAGTTTTAATGGATTTATATTCTGTTAATGTTTATGAAGTATTACTCTGTGCCAAGCCCTCTCACATAACTTATCCCTTTTGATCTAAATCCCAACATGATATCAGGAGCTTCTACATGCGCTTTGTAAGAATGGTGTCTGGTGGGAGTTTTAGAAGCCATTGTCTTAGTGTTAAATATAGCAGTTCCTTTCATGCACAGACATTTCACCCACAGAAAGTCTCATTTTGCCCAAAGGCTAATTACAGTGTATGTAATTAGTATTAACCTGATAATTTTTTCTATCTCTTCCTCTTTTGTTGCTAAACCCTCGTGGTTAACATCAGCTGCATTGCTGGAATCACCTGTTGGTTTGCATCCACTCTGGGTGGAATGTCTTGTCTATCTGACACCCAGACCTTTGTTTCATGTGAGAGTAAGCCAACCAAGAATTAGGAATTCTGGTTCATTTTTCTGGCTAGCTGGGAGTTTGCCAAAATCATCCTCTTTTTTTTTCAACCCTTGTTAAAAACATTTTTAAACGTGTGACTATTCTTTCCTGTCTTGTAAGAATATTCTGAACATAATTTAATTTAATGTTGCTTCGATTAAGAATCTTTCATTGCCCCAGGGTCATCAGTCTGAATACTCCTTCTTTTTGTATGATAAATGCTGAAGGTGAGATAGTTGTCACTGAGGCTTCTATTGTCCTAGTGCACTACTTAGAATATCTTTTCCTTTTCAGTTTTTTTTTAACTAAGTACTTGATACCAGCTTTTATCTTACAAATTTCCTTTCTTTTCTGAACAAACAGAAGAAAAATCAAGTTCAGATTAGTTCAGTTTTTCGTTTATTGAGGTGTATTTTTGAAATGTGTATTTAAAGATCTGTCATTTGGAGCAATTTATTTTATATAACAAACCAAAAGGGTGGGGGAGTGGAAGACAAGAAAATACCTCCTTTGAGAAATAGTTGGTTGGCCTTTCTTTTGTTTGTTTTTTGAGACAGGGTCTCCCTCTGCCATGCAGCCTGGAGTGCAAGGGCAGGATCGTGGCTCCCTGCACCTCCTCCTCCCAGGCCCAAGCAGTCCTCCTGCCTCAGCCTCCCAAAGTGCTGGGATTATACATGTGAGCCACTGCACGCAGCAGTTGGCCTTTCTTAATGAATAGTGTAGCTTTGTAATTGGTCTTTCTGCTTTTGGGACTGCTAGAAATGAATGTATATAGTCTGTGCATTTTCATGTTCAGAGACATCATTTTACATCTGTGTGAACAATTTGGCTATCTTCTCTGAAATCAGAAACTCTATTAAAGGCCTGTATGGGCTTTGGAGCTGGATGGATGTTCAGATCTTGGAATCTGAGGCCTCCTTGATTATAAATTGCAATGATAATGCTTACCTTGTTGGATTGCTTTAGACAATAGATGAAATGATAGAAATAAAATGTTTAGTATACTGACTGGCACTCACAAAATGATAACTGTTTTTGTTACTATTCATTCACTTATTGAATTCATTCATTCATCCATCCATTCAACATAGATTTCTTGAAAATCTACTATGTACCAGACATTGGTCATAACAAGATCCATGTGGGTCATAATAAGACTCACGCGCCCGCCCTTAAGGAACTTAGGGTCTATTGAGAAATACATTCAGTTCAACAAGCTTATATTAAATACCTACTGTAGGCCAGGCACTTTGCTTGTTGCCATCTTTATGCCACATGATGAGTACAAACATCTACTTAGGAAGCCAGAATATACCCTCTGGAAATAACCAAGGACTGGCCCAAGGTAATTTTAAATACTTTGGGAATTCGGGTCCTGGGTTTGTTGTTGTTGCGTTGATGTTATTTTGAGAGAGAGTCTTGCTGTGATGCCCAGGCTGGAGTGCAGTGGTGTGATCTCGGCTCACTGCAACCTCTGCCTCTTGGGTTCAAGTGAATCTCCTGCCTCAGCCACCCAAGTAGCTGGGACCACAGGCACATGCCACCACACCCAGCTAATTTTTGTACTTTTTGTAGAGACAGGGTTTTGCTATGTTGGTCAGGCTGGTCTCAAACCCTTGACCTCAAGTGATCCACCTGCCTTGGCCTCCCAAAGTGCCAGGATTACTGGCGTGAGCCACTGCACCCAGCCAGTCCTGTTTTTTTAAACAATATTGTTGGCAGAGAGCAGACACACTCAAAATTACAGATGCTTAAATGCTTCCTGAATCTCTGCCAGAGATATAAGGAGATCTCATATACACATCTGAGAATGGATTCAACTTAGAAATGGTATTGACAGTACAGGTTGACATCAACAACAAGTGGAAGTGATGACTATAAATTTCGTGACAGTTCTTTCTTCTCGAGGAATGGGTGCTCATTGTGTCCTCTCCTTCTGGAATGCTCTACTATACCTGTTGCCCTTGACTGCCTATTGCCTGGCTGTCTCCTGTCAATTTTTTCAAATTAGTCTCAATTCAGATATCACATCCTCCAGAAAGCCCTCTCTCATCTCACTATTGTAACACTTAACTATACTCTACTATCACTGATAATTCATGAGTCTGACTTTTCTACTAGATCATGAGCTCCTTGCTTCTTTCTTTGTCCTCAGTTTCCACATCTGTAGAAGGGATTTGAAGATGGCTGATACTAAAGTCTTTTCCAAGATTGTCATTCTATGATGTACCAGATCCAGTTTGAAAGGCACAGCCAAGTTGGGAGATGGGAATGGGATACTTTGGGATATATATTGGAATTAAATGGGAGAACAAAGACTTGGAGTTGGTACTAGAAAACCCATGCTCTCTCGCCGGGTGCAGTGGCTCACGCCTGTAATACCAGCACTTTGGGAGGTCGAGGCGGCAGATCACTTGAGGCCAGAAGTTCGAGACCAGCCTGGCCAACATTGCAAAATCTCGTCTCTACTAAAAATACAAAAATTAGGCGGGAGTGGTGGTTCATGCCTGTAACCCCAGCTACTCGGGAGGCTAAGGCATGAGAATTGCTTGAATACAGGAAGCAGAGGTTGCAGTGAGCCCATATCATGCCACTGCTCCCCAGCCTAGGTGACAGAGTGAGATTCAGTCTCAAAAGAAACAACCCAAACAAACAACCGCATGCTCTCTCAAAGTCTCAGGCATACTATGCTAATGTCAGGTATTTAGCATACAAATGAGCACATATTCAAGAAACCAGGGCACAGCAGAAAGTACACTGGCTCTAGAGTCAGATGGGCCTAGCCACTATTTTCTAGACAAGAAAGCTACTTCTCCCTCTGGGCCGTAATGGGCCTTAATTTCCCCTTTAGTAAAACAGATATCAAAATACCTGCTTCAGAGGGTTGTAAAGATTATGTAAGTAATGATATAAGTGAAGTGCTTGGCCCATAATGCGTGCTCAAAAAATATTTGCTATTATTTTTATTTTCTCAGTTAGAAATAAGTATAAACTGAAACCCACTATGAGCATTGAGTCTAAAATAAATATAATTTAGAACCTTTAAAGGGATCTTATGGGTCAGTCTTACCTACTGCTCTAGCATCCTCAGACAAATAGTAGGTCTGGCTTCTGTTTGCACATGTCTAGGCATGGGGCTCTCGCTACCTCACAAGGCAGCCCACCCCTTAAAAAAGCATTATTAGAAAGTTATCCTTTTATAAAGGCAAAAATCTGTTCCCTAATTTTCTTCCACTGCCTGACTCTCATTCTCTCCTTCAGGGCCCCACATAGCAAGTCTACCCTTATTTTCCCATCATGACCTTTGAAAATATTAGAAGGGACTTTGAGGTCAGGCACAGTGGCACATGCCAGTGCTTTGGGAAGCCTAGGTGGAAGGATTGCTTGAGGCCAGGAGTTCAAGACCAGTCTGGGCAACACAGCAATACAATATAAAAAATAAAAGAAAGGGCTTTGGATACCTCTAGAGTCTTCTCTCCTTCAAACTAAATGCCCACAGGTCTTTCACATGTGTCTTATGGGATCGGGTTCCGCTTACCAACTTCCTATGGACATGGGTAAGGCTCTGGTAAAAAAAAGATTTTGCTGCTTTTCCCGGTCCTTTTATGTTTGGTATTTGGGAGACTGAAGGTAGTTAAGAGAATGTAAATATCCATGTGAATAGATAATATTCATTAGTTTACCCAACAAACATTTACTGGATATCCAATAATGTCATGGGCCCTTTGTTAGTTCCTGGGGAAAGAGAAATGAATAAAGCAGCATCTTGTTCCCATGTTGCTCCCAGTCTAGCGGGGAACAGAGACACATTACCAGACAGTTTTCAAAGGATGTGTCAGTGAGAATGTTCGCCTGATCTGCAAGACTGAGGGGAGGGGGCCACTGTAGTTTTTTCATACATGTCTTATTCAGCAGCATGGTAATTCAGATTGAAGAAACTAAGGGTGCCCCTTTCCTCTTTTCAGTCATTTGACAAGCGTGATGATGGATTGCCCTCACATTCACTTGTGCCACTGCTCCAACATGCCAAGCACGTTCCTGCTTCAGGGCCTTTGCACATGAGATTCCTTCTCCCTGGAATGCCCTTTTCTCTAACAGAAGTGACTGGCTACCACCCTTCAATCACCCCAGCCCTTTCCCTCAGATCTCTGCTCTAACATCATGTTAGCAGTGAGGCCTTACCTGACCATCTGTATTAGTGAGGGTTCTCTAGAAGGACAAGAACTAACAGGAGATATATATATATATAGATATAGATATAGATACACACACACACACACTCACATATATATGTGTGTGTATACATGTATATACTATGCATATATACGTATATACATATACCTATATGTATATATAGTATATATGCATATACACACATACACGTATATATGTATACATATATACGTGTATGTATACGTATACATATATATGCATAAATATATGTATATAGGTATATATATGTGTGTATATATGTATATGTGTGCATATACATATATACACACATATACATATATACTTATATATGTATATACATGTATATGTGTGTATATATACATATATGTGTATATGTGTGTATATGTGTGTATATATGTGTATATATATGTGTATATGTGTGTGTGTATATATATATGTGTGTGTGTATATATATATAAAGGGGAGTTTATTAAGTATTAACATACACAATCACAAGGTCCCGCAATCGGTTGTCTGCAAGCTGAGGAGCAAGGAGAGCCAGTTCGAGTTCCCAAACAGAAGAACTTGGAGTCCGATGTTCAAGGGCAGGAAGCATCCAGCACAGGAGAAAGATGTAGGCTGGGAGGCTAGGCCAGTCTCTCCTTTTCACGTTTTTCTGCCTGCTTTATATTCTAAGGCAGCTGATTAGATCGTGCCCACTAGATTAAGGGTGGATCTGCCTTTGTTAATCTCTTTTGGCAACACCCTCACAGACACGCCCAGGATCAATACTTTGTAGCCTTCAATCCAATCAAGTTGACACTCAGTATTAACCATCACAGGTCCACCCCTTGTCAGCTTGAACCCATACACATCTCTTGAGGTTATAAATAATCTTCAAATAAAGGTAGTAATAAGCTCATGATTACACCTAACATAATACAACTATCCTTCAAACAACCAGAAACGCACCCATCCCCAACCCAAATACCATTATACTGAGTTAACAATACTTAAATGCTGATATGAAGTCAATAAATCTTATGTCACATGATAAAGGAAAAGGAAATAAAATAAAGACATTTTCTTAGTACAAGTGTATACATGCACAAACATGTCTTTAGCAAAAGAAGGAGGAAATACCCATGACAATTACAGTCCCTGTTTCTGTACCCATTTGTATTCCCTTTGCCTTCAGCAAGCACCTCAGCAGGTCATGGTTTTTTTCCTGGTGGAATGACCCAAACCTTCATTCCTGAGGTGTCTGGGCCATTTGCAGTCCTGCCTGGATTGGACTGTTGTAGCTTCCCATTGACCTTAATCACAGGGCGTGGTAATACTAAGAGACACCCTAATGAATCTCCTGTATTCCATGTATATTCTTCCTTACCTCCATTGTGGAGTAGTAGACTAATTTCATCTTGATAGTCTGGGTCAATCACCCCAGCCAACACTGCAACTCCCTTCTTAGCCTGTTGACTTAAAGGTAGGAGGAGCCCAAAGTGTCCAGGCAGCAATCTTAACTTCTAGTTTAATGGAATTGTTATTGTGTCTCCTGTTGGCAGCGTTCCTCCCTCTGGAACTAAGACCTCTAGGCCAGCAGAACGTGGTGTTGCAGGAACAGGAACAAAAATTTTGCTAGTGGATCACTAGAGGTGATGGTGAGTGGTGCCACTTCCACTTCCACCCCTTGATTCCTGGACCCATGAATCCTGGCTATGGGAGAAACAGTACCATATATTGGACACTGATTCAGAGCATACACAGCCTTCTGGAGAACTTTGCCCCAGCCCTGCAAAATATTGTCACCTAGTTGGTTTTGTAATTGTGACTTCAAAGGCCATTCCATCATTCTATCAATCCAGCTGCTTCAGGATGATGGGGAACATGGTAATATCAGTGGAATTCCATGAGCAAGAGCCCACTGCTGCACTTCTTTAGCAATAAAATGAGTGCTTTGGTCAGAGGCAATGTTGTGTGGAATACCATGATGGTGGATAAGGCATTCCGTGAATCCATGGATGGTAGTCTCGGCAGAAGCATTGTGTGCAGGATAGGCAAACCCATTTCTGGAGTAAGTGTCTATTCCAGTGAGGACAAACCTCTGCCCTTTCCGTGATGGAAGAGGTCTAATATAATCAACCTGCCACCAGGTAGCCGGCTAATCACCCCGAGGAATGGTGTCATATCAAGGGCTCGATAGTGGTCTCTGCTGCTGGCCAATTAGGCACTCAGCAGTGGCTGTAGCCAGGTCACCCTTGGTGAGTGGAAGTCCATGTTGCTGAGCCTATGCATAACCTCCATCCCTGCCACCGTGGCCACTTTGTTCATGACAGGGGTGGCTGGGGAAAGAGGCTGAGTGGTGTCCACATAATGGGCCATTCTATCCACTTAATTATTAAAATCCTCCTCTGCTGAAGTTACCCATTGGTGAGCACTCACATGGGATACAAGTATCTTCACAGTTTTTGACCACTCAGAGAGGTCCATCCACATACCTCTCCCCAAATTTCTTTGTCACCAATTTTGCAATCATGCTTCTTCCAAGTCCCTGACCATCCAGCCAAACCATTGGCTACAGCCCATGAATCACTATATAATTGAACATGTGGCCATTTCTCCTTCTATGCAAAGTGCACACCCAGGTGCACTGCTCAAAGTTCTGCCTACTGGGAAGATTACCCTTCACCGCTGTCCTTCAGGGATGTCCTAGAAAGGGGCTGTAGTGCAACAGCTCTCCACTTTCGGGTGGTGCCTGCATAGTGTGCAGAACCATCTTTAAACCAGGCCCTAGTTTTCTCTTCCTCTGTCAACTGATCATAGGGAACTCCCCATGAGGCCATTGGCGCAAACTGGGGAAGAGAAGGCAGGGTGGCAGGAGTGTCCCCAGCTTCATCAGGGTGGCAGGAGTGTCCCCAGCTTCATTAGGATCCTCCCACACATCCCCATTCCAAGTTTCAGGGTCCCATTTTTTCCAATCAATGCCCTCACTTTAACAGTAGACACCTGGCGAGGCTGTGCATGCATCTTTAGTTGCGGGTCAGCCACTCACATGATAAGAGCTCATGTCTGTTTTTCCGTAATTTCAGCTCTTTCTCTACAAGAGATAAGACTCTCACTCAAGGCAATCTCAGTAGATTTGAAGCTCAGTATCTGCTTCTGAAGCTGGGAGACAGAATCCCTGAGTTCATCATTTTCTTTCATCACTTTGTCCACTGAACTTAGGAGCAACCAACCAGCTTCATTATGTTCCTTGGTTCTCCACATACAGTCAAAGGTATCATGTATAGAGTCACTAAACTCCTTGCCACTCACGAGCGGTGAATCAGGAGTATCAAATTCATTTATTTTGCATAACGCTCTAAACAGGTCATGCCAAAGACTGTCAATGTTCTCTGTGCTATTAGAAGTAGAGTTCTTAGCATTTTGGGGTCTAATCATATTAAGCAGCCAACTCCAAAAATCCCAAAACTAATTAAAGAACTCCATCCTTAATATTCTGTTCCTCTAGAACCACTCCTGGTACCAAAATCTGTATTAGTCAGGGTTCTTTAGAGGGATAGAACTGATAGGAGATATGTATATATATATATATATACACACACACATATATATATGTATATATATATATATAAAGAGGAGTTTATTAAGTGTTAACTTACATGATCACAGGGTCCCACAACAGGTTGTCTGAAAGCTGAGGAGCAAGGAGAGCCAGTCTGAGTCAAAGAACTGAAGAACTTGGAGTCCGATGTTCAAGGGCAGGAAGCATCCAGCATGGGAAAAAGATGCTGGATCTCTGGGAGGCTAGGCCTGTCTTTCCTTTTCACATTTTTCTGCCTGCTTTATATTCACTGGCAGCTGTTTAGATGGTGCCCACCAGATTAAGGGTGGATCTGCCTTCCCCAGCCCACTGACTCAAATGTTAATCTCTTTTGGCAGCACCTTCCCAGACACACCCAGGAGCAATACTTTGTATCCTTCAGTCTAATCAAGTTGACGCTCAGTATTAACTATCATACCTATTTAAAAACCATCATACCTTTTAAAAATCGCAACTCCACCCCCTACACTGCCTTTCCTTCTTCTCTGCTTTATTTTCTCCCTACAACTCACTATCATCTGAAAAACGTTATATTTTATTTATGTATTTCTTGTCCATTTCCCTCAACCCCAATCAGAATGTAAATTCAGTGATGGCAGAAAACAAGTAGGTTTTGTTCTCTTTTATATTCCTAGTGAATGGAATATGCCTGGTACATAACACATGCTCACTAAATATCTGTGGGATAAATGTAGTACTTAGATTCAGCCCTCAAGTTCGAATGTCATCATTGTGATAGGGAAACTCTATCAAAACTCTGCTTTATCTTCAAAGCCCAGCTCAAATGTCTCCACCTCCATGAAGCCTTCCCTACTCTACTCAGTCAGAATCAATTTCAACTTCCTCTCTGTTCTTATATATAGCTTTAAAAGAAAAATACCTGTTATATGTATTATTTTTGCTGGGCTATATGTATTATTTTTTCTGGGCTATAATTAGTTTTTATACCTGTGTTTTCCTTCTACATTATAAGCTCCCTGAATGCGGGGACAATTTTTTGGTCATTTTGGGGTCTACCCATAGTGTCTAGCATGTGGTAGGTGCTAGTTATATGTGGGATTTGTGTGCATGTTAAATATTATATGCTCCAATGTAAAAGAAAGGCATCAGAAGCAGCCTCTACCTTCAAGAAGGTTGCGGTTTCATTGAGGAATAACATTCACATAGACCACAGTGTCAGACAGTATCTTGTGGGGCATGAGAGAAGAAGGAAAAGGAACCAACATCTATTGAGCATCTGTTTTATGGCAGCGACTTTACATGCATTATCACTTTTAATCCTCCTATTAACCCCTTGAAAAAAGTAATATTAGCCCCATCTTATAAATGAGTTTATTGGAGCAGAAAGACGCAAAGTAAGAATGTAAATTCTGGGGACAAAAAGAAATAGCATATACCAAGAAATTCTGAGAGCTTTCCCATCAGAGCTTCCCTTCTCTGTTACCATGAGTTGGGTGTGTAGTATCCCCAGAAACCAAGGCACAGGGAGGTTAATTTAACTTAGCCAGAGTCACACAGCAGTAAATTGAAGAACTGGGATTCAGACACACGTCTGACCAACTCCAATTCCCTTTCTTTCCAGTGTTTCTCATCATACTTTAAACCAATGCTTCTTAATCCTTCATGTGCATTTGACTTACCTGAGGATTTTGTGGAAGTACAGATTTTGATTCAGTAGGTCTGGGATGGGACCTGAAGATCTGCATTTCTCACAAGTCCCTGGGTGATGCCAGTGATGCTGATACAGGAACCACACCTTGAGTAGCAAGGTTTTAAACCATTCTTAAGCTGGGCATGGTGGCCTGTAATCCCAACACTTTGAGAGGCCAAGGCAGGAGGAATGCTTGAGCCCAAAAGTTGGAGACCAGGCTGAGCAACAAAACAAGACCTGATTTCTTAATAAACAAATAAATTTAGCCAGGTGTGGTGGCATGCACCTGTAATCTCAGCTACCCTGGTTGCTGAGGTGGGAGGATCGCTTGAGCCCAGGAGTTTGAGGCTGCAGCAAGCTGTGATCATGCCACCATACTCCAGCTTGCGCAAAAGAATGAGACAAAACAAGCAAACAAACAAAAAAACCCCACATACTTAGTTTGAGGAAATTGTGTGAATGACCAAAAGAAAATAAATCCTCTGACTAGTTGGCTGTAGTAACACTGGGCTTGCAGGAAATAAGCCAAGACTCATTGTAAGCCTCTCAGAGGTGGGATGGGAGGGAACAATCATAGGTGCTCCAGAACCCCAAGGGATCCCCAGTCAGTGTGTTAAGAAGGAGAAGAGACCCCCAGTGCAAGTGAATGTATCCCCTTGAGTAACTGCCTGATGCCAGACACTCTGCTGGACACTTAAACTTGGGCCAGTCCCTGTAGAGAGAAAGTGTGAACTGAGATATCCAACAGACTGGAGTTCATTCAAATCCTAGCCTCAGAGCCTACTTGCTGGTTGACTTCAGACAGATTATTTAACATTTCTCAAGCCTCACTTTCCTTATCTGCACAGTAGGCCTGATGATACCCATTTCACACAGAATTAAATGAGGTAACATTAATAAGCCACTTAGCACAGTGCCTGGCACAAAGTAGGCACTGAATAAATTGTAGCTGCTATTAGTCCCCATGTTAATATAATCTTCACAGTGATACTTTGATTGTGAGAATTAAGGGATTATCTCTGTTTTTTCCAGATAAGAGAGCATACTGATAAAGCTTAAATGACTTAACCAAGGTTATACAGCAAGTAGTTTTGAACCACACACACATTGATACATGCAGTAACAACCATTCATCTGACCCTTTCTTGGGTGTGTTTGGGTAGATTTAAGCCTGCTGAAAGCAAGAAAGACCTCTCAGAATGGGCAGTGAAGGAGTCCCAGGATATGGAGTTGGCTGCAATTAACCTAGTATGTGGATTACTGCCATGCAGGTAATTTTGAGGTGACTGGGGATTTTATCATGCACTTTCAGAACAGGATTTCAGCCTGAACTAGGGGTTCTAACTTCCATAAAAATTCCTTACTCAACTCAGAAGTTTTCAACAGCAGCTACCCATCTGGCTGCCTCCTCAGGGGCTTTGTAGATGAGGGGAGTAACTGTTCGGTTTCTGGAGAATGATGGTTTTTAAAAAGCGAAAGAGCAAGGTGTGCAGATTGGCAGTGCAGAAATGCTGAGGTTCTTTCTGGCCAGCTTCTCTACTGCAGCCATCAACCATAAGGATGTCAGGATCAGAATAATCTCCAGGATCCTAAAGGCAAGGAAAAGCTACGTCTATCCAGAATGGCTGGGAAAATAAGGGGTTATAACCAGCTATGCTCTCAACACTTTCTAGAGATTAAATATAACAAAAATGCTTAACACAAACTACTGGAGATAATTTACTCTTTCACAGCAGATTCAAAAAGCCTCTGATACATTTCAGGGTCTCAGAATCATTGTTATTATAATAACATTTTAGTTCAAATGGAGTAACTAGTTGTGGCAGAGAGTACAGGATTTGAAGTCAAATGATCTAGATCGGAAGATAACAATCTACAGCTCATGGGCCAAATTGGGCCACTACTGCCTGTTTTTCTAGAAAAAGTTCTATTGGAACACAGCTACACTCATTTGTTTACATACTGTCTATGGCTGCTACACAATGGCAGAGTTGTCAGGGACCCTAAGACCTACCAAGCCTAAACTACTTACTGTCTTGCCCTATACATAAAAAAGTTTTCTAACCCCTGATCCAGACTATGATCTAGCTCTGTGATCTTAGGCAAATCACCATTTTCTCTGAACTTCAATATCCACATCTATAAAATGATAATTATCTCTCAAACAGGGTTGTTGAGAGAATCAAATGCATAGAAGGATGGGAAAGCATTTTGTAAACTCAGAATCTCTGTGGAAAGGTGGATAAGGGTGATTTTTGTTGTTCATCTGATCTGTGCCAGAGGAGAACCTACCCAGGACATTTCTTGTTTGTGTTTTGTTTTCCAGCCCCCGGAGTCAGTTTATTGTTGTGTCCTCTCTTTCTCACAAATGCAAAATTAATTCCCTGGGTACCCCCTCTTTTCCCCCTCTTCCCCCAAACTTACCAAACATTCTGGTTATATGCTTTCAGTAATGGAGGACTGGTACAAATGCATACATCCATTCTTTCATTTATCAAGCATTTGTTGATGACTTACTATGTGCAAGGATAGAAACTTTTATGAGCTAGTTATTATGGGAAGATGTGTTTTGTTTCTAAGGGGAAAAGTTGGATATACAAATTATTATAACAGAATAAAGATGTTGCCATGTCATAGTAGGAGGAGACATTGTGTATTTGTGTGTGTGCCTATGTGCCTATGCTTTATAAAAACAGAAATATTGAAGTTCAGATTTAAGAGCAGCTTGTTAAAAACAAAAACCTGTTTAATTCAAAATACTCTGAAGTGCTTTAAAGTGTAGCCATTATGTATAGCAGTTTTCTCTTGGAAAGTACATTCTGAATTATAAGTTTCCATCTCAAACTGCCAAGAATGCATTTCCTGCCCATGCATGATAACTGGTGACCATTCACACATGCCTGCTGGACAGGATTATTAGGGACTGGTCACAGTAAGGGTTGTAGGTCACCTGGGCACCAAGGGGCCAAATGCTCACTATAGTTTCTAAATTTTGGAGGCAGTCTTAATTTCATATCTCATTTTTTAATAAAGAGGATTCAATAAATGTAACTTTGATGATTTCCTTTTTATTTGTTCAACTTCCCATCAAAATAGACTCATAAATTGGGAACAAAAATACAGCTTGTTTTAATTTTCTGTTCTGAAAATACTGTTGCCATCCCTATGTTCTCAAATCTTGCTACTGCTGATAAAGGGAGAAGATGTAGCCATTTGGAAAAAAAAAGAAAGAGTAATAAAAAGATATTATTTCTGGAATACAGATACAGATACACTAGCTCTGGGCTCCAGACTGGATCCCTCAGGCCCTCCCAGCATAGCATTTCTCTTGGTCCCCATAGAAAAAGTGTTGCTATTTTTTGTGAATGCGTTTCATCTATTTTTTTCTAGGTACACTTAGCATACAGAACTGCAAATATAAAACCCATCACCAATATATGGCCACCAAAATTAAAACATAAAATTTTTCCTCATTTTACTCTCCCTTACTACTGAAATAGTTTCTAAAAGAAGTAAAGCTTGGGTTTTTTTATTTTCTACATAGAGATTTAATCCTCTACAGGACATGTTAAAAGAGAATGCTTAGATCCATAGAGTGCTTTTTATTAGACTTAGCTGAACTCCTATGATGGTGAGAAGCATGTTAAGAAAACCTGTTCATGAACTAGGCTAACCACAGGTAGTTTCATTGTGGTACCAGACTATCTCATATCTTTCAATTCACAGGCAAGTTTTTCTGCCTCTGTCCTCCTCTTGTTCTATGCAATGTTCTGTTTTAGAGCTTGAAGTTCATTATTTCATATCAAGGAGAATCATCATCATTTTTCCTCTTCCTTTCTGAAATGATGTTCATCTGTTTTTTGTTTGTTTTTTTTTTTTTCATTTTCCCAAAAGCACCCTCATTCTTGATGTTAAATGCAGTCTCTCTCTAAAGTTAGAGCAGGTGATAACACAGTTGTGCTAATTGCAGTCAGGAACTAAGGTGATGGTGGATTTGGGACTGATAGAAGCAGGTGGCTTGACATGATACATCTTGCTGGGCAGGGCTCCTTTCCCTCATTTGACCTTCAGAATCTTCCTAGGACTTGAATGTATTTTCCTTCCTCCAGAAGCAAAGGTCTAAAACAAAAATAAAATATAGAATGTGAAAATTATGCCCATTATATTTATTTTAGATTTTCATCAATATATGAGTAATTTTAGAAAGATGGATAGTGTGTCAGGAGCATGTACCACTCGTAAGCATGATTCCTCCACATATATTCCATCAGTATAAATAAATCAAGTACTACTCCAATGTGAGTTAGGTCTAATTTTTGCTGTTAAGTGGTGTTTTGTTTATATTTTTCATAATTTATTTTAATTTTACGCAAATTAAATTGGGCTGGATAGATTGACCATCTGACCAGTTTCCTAGAACTTATGCATAAGGTTTATCATTGAGATAATTGTTTTAAAAATATCCTTTAAAAGCAGCTCAACTTGGTGAATGTTTTTAAAAAGTGATTATAAGAATACTTTTGTACAGCAATTTTTAAAGCTTCTCATATATGCAAGGTAAATATGACTGAGAAATTTGCATGATGAAAATGTATTTAATTAGGTGAATTATTTAGCTAGGTTTGATGAGGTGACACCAAATTTCGGATAAATGATATTTTTAAACCAATGAAATTGGTCTCTGTATTTTTGTATTTGCAAAATGAAATTTCTGGGAACATATGGCAGGGTCTTGTAATTCACCTCCCCCTGCCCCCACCACACGTACACACACACACACACACACACACACACACACACACGCCACTCACACACCATACTTACACAGTGAGATGGAAAGAGAAGGGTCCCAGCAGCTGGAGTGCACCCAGCATTCTCTCCTTCCTCTTCAGTTACTAATCCTGGCTGGTGAAGGGCATGTCTGGTAAAGTTTGCCCCTGTCTTTCTTCTTCTCACCCTGTTCTTCCAAAACAAAGGAATATCCTAATGGAAGTGTCATTTTGGGTTTTCCATTTGGGGTCAAATGCCATTGAGCTTTCTTGTGATTCTCTTTGCTCCATCCTATAACAAAGTCACCCATTTTCTCATCCAGAACCCAACTTGTTTTCCCAGGTTTCCTCCTACAACCAACACAAACACAGACATTTACCAGCAAAACAGAAGCTGTTGGAAAGATTTTTTGGCCGCTGAAATGGGCTCCTGTCACCAGGACATGGCAGGCTTTTTGCTGTATTATCTCCCAGCCCTGGCCCCCGTACTCCAAAGAGAGCTTTATGTAATCAGTCTTTGCTGACATGTGACGTCCTGTCATTTTCCTCCCCTTCGGCTCTGCTGCCGCCCACAAATCAATAACATTGCTTGGGAAGTTCAGGCTGGTTTTGCAGCCACCCCAAGCTCTGTGTTTCTTAAAGGGTATGTCAGAAAATGTAAAGTTTCCTAATGATATTTCTGGCTGATGACACATGGCAGAGCTGATGGACTATTTATAATCAGTGGCACGATTGCAAGCACATTATTTTTATTTCACTTGGGGGGAGCCCTGTCACTTGCTACCTCTCTTTGCAGACAAGTTGATGCCATCTCCACCTAAAGTAGCTAAATCCTCTTTTCAGAGTTTATTTGCACTCTTAGCTTTGTGTTAGGAGCTCCCCAGCTCTTTCCAGTAGAAACCCCCTCTCCTTTTTCTTTATTGTTCTTTGGCTCAGGGAATGATGAGGGTAAAGAATGATTTGTAGCAACTGCTTTGAATTCTAGCCATGCCTGCATCCTTAACTATACACATCTCCAGTCTTTGCTACTCAAGTCTTGCTACATCCCTCTGAATGTGGGTGTGGCTGGCATGACCGAGGCAATAGACACTGCTACTGTGTCCAGCACTTGCCTCAATTTTACAGGCCTGAGCAGAGCATAGCTGTCTTTTGTTGAGCACCTACTCCAATCTAGACAATGTACTTGGTAGGCATTTTATACACAATCTCTCACTCTCTCAAACCTACCTGAGGTAAGTGCTGTTATCTCCAGAACAGAGATTGGAGGTGGGAGGGGGAGAGAGATTAAATTACTTCCTTACAAAGTCGCACAGCTGATAGGGAAAGCTCTAGGACTCCAGTTTAAGTCTCTTCTGACAAACCACACCTGTTCTCTTTCCGCTACCATGTCCTGCCTCTTCCTGATTATGTGGACACTTGTGTATCTCTTGTGTGGCTGTGCAGGGGCACTTACCCAGTTTTAGCTTGCACAGCTCCTAAAGTTTAATAGCCAATGAGAGTGAGAGTTGGAGGAATTGGAAACCTCTCAATCTGGGGGTAAACCCTGGTGTAAGAGGAACTGTATACCAAAGGAGAGTTTTGACTCACTGCAGTGGGAAGTGTTGCCTCTATAAAGATACTGAGCATGCTCTCTCTCTCTCTCTTTCTCTCTGTCTGTCTCTCTCTCCCTTTCTCTCTCTCTTTTTAATATTTCCACAGGACAGAGTTTAGGGTATGGATTTGTTAACTATATTGATCCAAAGGATGCAGAGAAAGCCATCAACACTTTAAATGGACTCAGACTCCAGACCAAAACCATAAAGGTAAGAGGTGATGTGCTGGCTCCTGATTCAGGAGGCTCTGGTTAAATTTCATTCTGTTGATCTGGTAAATCCAGGCTATGTGGGGGCTGGAAGCAGTGTTCTTGATTTATTCAAAGAACATTTACCATCCACTATACTAAATGGGAGACACAGAGTGTTACAGAAGAGTGAGGTGAGGGTTGAGTAGAGGGAAGGGACCACAAGCTGTGAGACCTCCAATTAAGAGGGCAGATGGGATATTTGGGATTCAAGACCCCACAAAGAGGGCCTGTGAGCCTGAGTCTGCAAAGATGGCCAGAGCTGAGCCAAGGGAAAAGGCTGAGGCCAGGAAGCTGTTCCAGGCAGAGGAAACAGCACATGCAAAGCTGTGAAAATGTAAGACGTTGTGAGCAGGGACAGCATATAAATAGTGTGGCCTAAGTTTGGATGGGAAGGTGAAAAGATGAGGATGGGAGGTGGCAGGGCCAAATCAGGAGGCTTTGTGTGCCAGGCTGCAGCTTGGCTTTACCTAAGGGTGGTTAGGACCCTCCTAATCGAGACTCGAAAAGGGAGCATCAGTTATAAATAAACGCACCAGTGTAATAGGGATGGGTACTATAATAAAATTGATGAGAACATAGTATGGGAATGACAGAAAAAGTAACATTTCAGCAATCTGAAAATAATTAGGTGGGTAGATAATATCTCAGGAAGGGTTGTTTTAAGTCAAAAAAGAAAAACAGTAACCCAGAGCCTGCTCCTCTAGAAGGAGGTTTAAGTTTCTGTCACTGGATAGTCATACTCTGGGTCCAGACTTCACCTATGGGATCCTTCAGGAGGTAGTGCTGTTTGCCTTGGGGGATTCCCTTGGGCAGCCGGTGGTGGTCTAGTGGATGGAGCCTGCCTCCTCCTCGGCCTTCCTTCCCTTTCTTCCCCTACCTCCAGGCAGCGTCCTGCTTAGGGGCAGCTGCCAGCCAATTAATGAGTCCCCATCTTTCATAGCCTATTAAACTGCAGGGAAGTGTCTCCTGGGCGCTCTTATCCTCACGACAGCAGGTCTGACGCAAAGTAGGACAAAAGAGAAACCTCTCCCAGAATGGAAATCTATAGATGGCACCAGCTCTCAGCATCTGAAAACACAAAACCAGAACTTTTTAGTCCAACAAAGCTACTTTTCCAACATCCAGCCTGATAGAGGAGACTACTGGTATAAGATAATCTTAGCTGGAAGGTAATCAAAACAAAAACAAAGCAAAACCTTTCTCTTTTTAGAATATGTGATTATCTTTCTTTCTTTTTTAAGCAGCTTTACTTTTGCAATTGAGTTTAGCTTATTTCTAAAGATGATTGCTTTCCCTGATCTCATACAGCCTGATACACAAAGATCCCAAAATGGACCTGATTCAGGCTCCTCAGTCTAGGCTTAGAATCATTTCCTATGAGTTCTCTAATGAGGAAATAATCAAGAGTTGTTTAATTATGGGGTAGTCCTCTGAGAGGCAGGAGGATTAATTTCTTTCAAAGTAAAAACATACCTATTTTCATGCTTTAAGTAAAGACGGATGCTCATGTCACCTGACTCTTTGATGAGGCCACACTAGACTGAGAGCTGTATTTGTAGGTTTGATTGATTTTCTGTGCTATCCAGTTCAGCATTAGAATGTCAGATGTCTACTCTTCCCTTGACAGACACCCTGACCTTGAACTGAAAAAGGTACTTTTCTTTACAGTTTTCTTGAAACCCCAACTCTTCTCCAGGGGCTTAGGATCAAATAATCAACTTTCCATTTTGCTTTTTTTTTTTTAAGTATTCCATAAGGCCACTGTGGTTCCCCAAAGACTGAGTAGACCTGGCTTTTCTGGTCTCAGATGTACCCCCTAGCCCATCATGCCATCAGATGCTTTATCTAAGTGGATCTTAGAGACAAGGATCATTGATTATTTTCTTTCTGTAAAGAGTCAGTCTGCCTCCTTCCGTTATCTATATTCCTTTCCCCACCCCCTCACCCACCCTGTATCAAAACGCTGCCAACACATTTGCACCCAGCGGTAATGTGGGCTTCTGAGACACTGTAGGATTCAAAATGCACGATGCCATGGCTGAATCAATAATTTCCATTCTCCTCTACAAATGAAAATTTAATGTGCAAACCTGGGGACTTCAGCCCTTTCATTAAAGCAGTTTATTTGCTGTACTAAAAATTAAGTTTGAGTGATAGGTTCCTTTATTAACTTTTCTTCCCTTTTCTAAAGGGACACAATGTTTAAGGTAAAAATCATATTAAAGGAAAGAAAAAAGCAAACCCCTTTTGTATGCTGTTTAATAGTCTCATCATTTATTAATTTTTTTAAATTGCTTTTTTGTCTTTCAGGCCACTGTTTACCTCTGCTTCAGTTTGCTTTGATAAGTGACATGAGATCTATCTCTTTGCTCTGACTCCCATGAAGGAATAGTTAACTTGCCTATCTGGAAAAAAACCAAGTATCTTCTTTGGAAGCGTACATTACAGAGGTCTCAGGACCATCTAGTACATGTTTGTGAACTTTGGTCAAATTTCCCCCTCCTTTTCAAATTTCTGGAGTGCAAAACACTCTACTTTAAATGTTATGCACAAAGTAGGTTCAGGCAAATCAATAGTTAATTCCAAAGCTGTGAAGGTTAATGATTAACAGCTGGATTCAGGGAAGGTTCTGGAAAGCTCTAAGGCATCGGTGGAGACTGTAGTGAGCTGTAAAGAAGACAGCTATTCTGCTGCTGCTGCTAACTGTTTAAACCCAGATTGTTGCCAGATCTACCAGTTGTCCAATACACATGAAAATCTAGATTTTTTTCCTGCCAATCTCCCAATTTTTAAAAGCTAGAAAATAACTCAAAGAATTTTAAGAATTATGTAGGTGGGCCAAACAGAACTTAATAGTTGACCTTTTGACAGGCAGTTTGCAAACCACCCCCCAACCCACCCCCACCAAAAAAAAAATGAACTCAAATTTAAATATGAAAACATCGTTTTGCCAATTGGTAGTGAATGGCTCATTACAGGTCCACTACAGGCTGAGCATCCCAAATTGGAAAATCTGAAACCCAAAATGCTCCAAAATTTGAAACTTTTTGAGCACCTACATGACACTCAAAGGAAATGCTCATTGGTGCATTTTAGATTTCAAGTTTTTGGATTAAGGATGTTGAATCAGTATAATGCAAATATTCCAAAATCTAAAATTTGTGGTCCCATTTCTGATAAGGGATACTCAACCTGTACTAGGAGGTACCCACAAATGATGGTTCCCAGTCAACAAATATCCATTTCCCTTTTATTAGGGGCAGTGTTACATGACTCTGTGTGAATACTGACAGCATTCAGAGAGCAATCTGACCTCTGTTCTCCAGAAGCATGCAATCTAGGCATCGGCACAGCACCAAAGCAGAGAAAGAGCATGATGTGTAATTAAGCTTCCAATGCATAGTGTGGATGGTGACTCCAGGGGAATTGTTCTTTGGGTTATAACTTCTTTAGTGGGAGAAAGTTCCCACCACACATCTTGGAGATCAGGCTCAGAGACACTAAGTGACTTGTCCAAAGCCATACAACAGGCCAGCAGTGGAGCTCAAGTTAGCTTCAAAAGGGCCTCTGAAGGATTCTGCCAGAAGAGGAGCTGCTTAATATGTTAGCATGAGCTTGAAATAATAATAATAAAGATTAATAGTAATGCTAATTTATAGTGAGTATTCACTCTGTATCCAATACTATTATAACCCTTTTACATGCTTAATATCATTTCATCTTTGAAATATCCCTGGAGCTAGGTGCTTTACACACATCAACTCTAATTCTTAAAATAGCCCTGTCAGGAGGTACTATTACCTCCTTTATACAGGTGAGGAAACTGAGGCCCAAGGAGGCTTAGAGACACACCCAGGATGACACAATTGATAAGCAAGACTTGGAGTAAGAAAAAATGTTCTAAAAATAACTCTCTGGCAGTAGGTCGTAAGTGTTGGAATGTCACACTGCCTGCTTGCTCAGCAACACGTGCATTCTGTGAGGGTGTGTGGGTGTGTATTTGGCTCTGTGCACACATGGGTTATACTCTCTGGCATGGGAAGGAGAATAAAAAGCAAACAAATGAATTGTGTGTCTCCTCCAGGTTCTTTAGTAAACAGACATGGCTCAGGGCTTCTGCTATCAACCTAGGGACAGACCTGACTTCATTTCTTCTTGGGTCCCTGCTTTCCAGGCTCTGTGCTAGGTCCTCGGATTTAGGTGAATCAGAAATGACAGTGCCCTAGAGATTCTTCCATCCATGTGAGTCAGAGAGCTATGGAGTATGGACCATGGGCTTACATTCACTAGCCTGCCAGAGCAGCCTGGAACCCCACTTAGGAAACTGGGTCATTGTTCAGTGTTTCAGCCCTGAGCCCAGCCCAGTGGAGATGACTTGCCTCATGTAGGAGTTTGGGATGCTATTTGTTTAGCTTTGTTTTTGGTTTGTGTGTATGTGTGTGTTTGTTTTGTTTTGTTTTGTTTTTTTAGACAGAGTTTCACTCTTGTTGCCCAGGCTGGAACGCAATGGTGCGATCTGGGCTCACAGCAACCTCTGCCTCCTGGGTTCAAGCAATTCTCCTGCCTCAGCCTCTGGGGTAGCTGGGATTACAGGCATGCACTACCACGCCCGGCTAATTTTGTATTTTTAGTAGAGACAGGGTTTCTCCGTGTTGGTCAGTCTGGTTGCGAACTCCTGACCTCAGGTGATCCACCCGCCTCAGCCTCCCAAAGTGCTGGGATTACAGGCGTGAGCCACCGCGCCCGGCTAGCTTTGTTTTTAAAAGTCGTCTCCAATAGGGATCATTTTAGACTCTGCAAATGGCTGTGGATTCTGAAAAATTATTCCTGGTACTCCTTGACCCCACACCTGATGCCTGTCCCAGGCCTGACCTTCTGTTGGGCTCCAAAAGAACAGCTTCTGAATTTACATTGTAATTTTATCCTTTTACTAAGAACTGCTTCAGTGAAGTTGCATTTGGTCCAGCTCTGTCACATTAATCAGGAACAAAGAAAATTAGTACCTTCAAAAGAGAAATACGTTTACCAAAGTTTTGGATTGATGTTCAAATTACATTGAGAACCTTCAGTAAAAAGTGATCCAAAATGGAATGTGAGGGTTTGGTATCACACCCACTAAACCTTTCAGAGTGTTGGGACACCTGTTTGCGTTTTGACCTAAATGTCAGGAGTAGGATTAAACAAGCGTTCACTGCTGGCTCTGCCTCCAGAAGCTCCTGTCTCATGGGGGACACAGACATGCAAAGGACCAACTCTAAAGCAGTGGGACAGGGCAGTCATGGGGCTGCAGAGGTTTCTGTTTGATATTGGGGTTGGGGAGATAGGGAGCTGTGCAAGGTTTGAGTGAGCAAAAGATCTGATCAAAGTAAAGTTCCAAGAAAGTTCATCTGTCAACGACGTGCCACATAGAATGTTTGACAGATGAAACCAGAGCTTGCAGGCTGCTGTGGTAGGTTTTTGTCAGCCTTAGACATTGGTTTTCATCAGCTCTATTAGGAGCCTTATCCACTCATTTTTAAAGCAAAACATGCTTCTTTGTAAATAATTTGGTATGTACAGAATCATATCGTGAAGGCAATATCAGCCATTCCTAAGCCAACAGTGTTAACATTTTTATATATTTATATATTTCCATCCTTTTTTTTTTTTAAATTAAGACAGGGTCTCGCTTGGGAGTGCAGTGGTGCAATTCCAGCTCACCATAACCTCCACCTCCCGGGATCAAGCAATTCTCCTGCCTCAGCCTCCCGAGTAGCTGGGATTACAGGCACCTGCCACCACGCCCGGCTGATTTTTGTATTTTTAGTAGAGACAGGGTTTCATCATGTTGGCCAGGCTGGTCTCAAACTCCTGACCTCAAGTGATCTGCCCACCTTGGCCTCCCAAAGTGCTGGGATTACGGGTGTGAGCCACTGCGCCCGGCCGATTTCCATCCTTTTTTTATTGTATTATATGTGCACAAATGACTTAGTGACTTACCTTTTTCTAATAATTATATTAAGCTATTACCCAAAGGATTAAAATATGATTTTAAATGAAATATTTCCAGAGGACAGGTATTGTGAGTGATTGCAGCACTGGATCTGGGATGAAGGGGTAAAAGAGCTGCTCCTGCCACTCTGAGCAAATCTATGAGAGTTAGCACTCAGGCAGGCAGCCGGTGAGAGAATAAGAAAGACACTTAGCCATGAGGCAGTGGCCCAATTCTGGAGGGAGCAGGAGTAGAGAAGGGGAAGGTGTGTGAGGGAAGGCTTTTCAGAAGGAAACACCTTCCTTCTCTGGGAAGGAGAGTGAGCTCCTTCATTTCCACCTCTTCCTGTTGTGATGCTGCTTAACCACTTCTCCATTTTCGCTTTATTCTTCTAATACCACTAACAGTGCCTCCGGGGGTCTTTCCACACTTGAGCTTTGCAGGTTCCAGTTTGCCCCTCCCACTTCTTTCTCTTGCCAGGGGTCGTCAGGGAGCTGCGCCTCCCCCTCTCCTCCCTGCATCCACCTGCCTTGCTAAGGGCCTCCATTCCGCTGAGGCATCTTTTCTTTGCATTCGGCATAAGCAATTATTTCTCCTATCACTGCTCTTAATGCTTCCTGGAGAGTTAGCAGATCATTTTTTGCTGATGGATATCACCCCACACAGAAATGATGGACTGCCTCCCTCAGTCTTGTTAATAGTAAAAAGGCATTTTCTCTCCTCCTCCATTACCGCTAGTCACAACCTGGGCGAGAATGCTTCTCTGCCAAGGTCAGCAGGGGCGGCTGGATCACTGAATCCCCAGGGAGCCAAGAGAGAGCACGTGGCAATGCCAGCAGAAACCAGAGACACGTTTACCCCAGTTGTGCTAGCAGCCCTCTCTTGTGGGAGATTTTATTTGGCTGCTCTGCTTCCCAGTGCCCTGTTCACTTCCTTTGAGTGAATAATTTCAAATACAAGGATAGGAGTTGGAGAAATGGAAATACAATTCCCCTCTTCTCTCTGCTCAGTGAAGGTGATACGTTCCCAGTATCTTGAAGTTCATTCATAGTGTCCTGTGTCCACATCTAAAAAGGAAATTAGACCGGTATGGGTTGGGAAGGCACAGGTTTTCAGAAGTACATGGAATGGGGTCTGGGGGCTTTAGCTGTCTTCAAGTGTAAAAGAAGCCAACAATGTGATGTGAGCTGCTTCAAAAAAAAAAAAAAAATCAGCACAACTTTAGTTGTGTTGGGAGAATTATGGACTCCATATCACAGAAAATAGTGGTCCTTTCTTGTCCACTCTGGTCAGCCCATCCTAGTGTCTTATGTCCCATTCTCGGCTTCATATTTTAAAAGATTGTCTAAAGGTGAATGACAAAGATGGGAAAGAAGTCTCTGCACCCACCCACAGATTCACCTCACAATGGTTGCTTTTCTATTCTCTAGGAAAGAAAATTCTGCAGTGACCCTGAGGCATTAGTTTGATCCTATATTTCAAGAATCTGGGAAGAGAACCTGTGTAGCTATCAGAGTAGAATGTTTGCCTTGGGTGGTAATGAGGCTCCGATCATCGGAAGCATTCAGATGAACTCATAAGGGATGATGTAGACAGGATTTCAGTCCCACAGTGGAGTCTGACTAAATGATCCTAAAGGTCCCTTCTAGCTCTAAGATGCTATAATTTTGTGTTATTTCTGATTGTAGAGCTGCTCTGTCCAGCATAGTAGCCACTAGCAATATATGGCTATTTATATTTGAATTTAAATTAATTAAAATTTAATAAAATTCAAAGTTCAGTTTCTTAGTCACACTAGGCATGTTTGAAGTGCTCAGTAGCCACTTGTAGCTAATGGCTACCTATATTAGACAGCACAGATAGAGAACATTTTCCTGATCCCAGAAAATTCTGTGGGACAGTGCTGGCCTAAAACATCAGTGGCCCTGCGGATTAAAGACTCATTTCTCCATGGTGCTCCTGCAGCCTCTGGGCAGGATGGCTGGTCTGTCAGTGATCATAGAGCACCACACTCCTCTTCCTTCTCCCCTTTTGTCCATTCAAAAGAGCTCTGAGTTCAGATGGAAAGTCAAGTTCCAGCTCTGTCAAAAACTGCTAAGGATGACCTTGGGCAACTTACTTTACTTCTTTGGACTGGTTTCCTCATCTGCAAAATGATTTTTTCCAGTTCCAACAGTATAACTAACAAATTATAGTGTGATCTTTCTGGCTTGGTAACCTTTCAGGGAAAGTAACAGTTTGTGCCAAGCACACGGCTTTTATTTCACTGTCTGGATTAGTGTGCCATAGTGGAAACATCCCAGAACATGGAATTATATCCCAGTTTGTCTCTTAGTTCAGCTGTGTGACCTTGGATAAGTACTTGATCTCACTGAGCCAGAGTTTGTCATCTGGAAAATGGAACTAATGATATCTTACTTGTAGGGAATCGTAGCTTACAGTGGATGCTCAAGAAATGCTCCCCAGGATGAAGATGATGGTGAATGGTGCTATCCCTAAAGTGAACATTACATGAGGAGAGGGGGGGACTTTTTTCCATCTACATGTTTCAGTGATGAGTAAGGGAGTAAAGAATGAGTCTGAATTTTACTAAGATTCGGGCAACATATATAAAAAGCTTTGTATAGGGGAAAGTATTATGAAGCTTCCAGCTGGCCACAGTAATCGTATCAGTCTTTTATAAAGCAGGAGCCAGGAGTTGCAGTCTAGTGAAGAGACTGAATCTGGGGCCCTGAGCCCAAGACCAGATATTCCACTAACCAGGCCATGAGACCTTTACACAGCTCTCCCTTCTGAAGGCCACTAGATAGACAGAGAGAACTTAGTACGTACTAAGTATGCCTCTTTGATAATTTGATAGATATTTTAAAAGAAGTTGCAAGACACATGAATCTATCGTCACATCTTTTCTATTCTTTAAAAGAAATACTTGTCTGGCCTACTAGGTGCCAGACACCCTTATGATATTCGTAGATACCCTTTAACTGCATGATTCTTTCTGGCTTCTTCATCACATCAGAGTCAGCTCTTAGAAAAGAAGCTAAAATCCGCGGCATAAAGTATATGATACATTTCATTTCACTTGAGAGAGCATTTTTTTTTGAGCTCTTGCCCTGATAAAGCTTTGAGACTAGGTGCCACAGGGGTCTATGGAGATCACCAGAATGCTCAGACTCATAGGGCAGGTAAGGTGTTATCACACTTGTAGTGCCTGGGATCTGGGATCAGGATGCCTGTAGTGGGAGGTAGGGTAAGTGTAACTATTGCCACTGAAATATACTGCTGTGTATCTTCTGTGGAGTCAAAGGAGAGGAGAGTCATTTGTGCCTGGGACTCGTGGAGGAGGTGGCATTCAGTATGGGCTTAGAAAGATGGGCAGGAGTTTATTCTGCCATGATGGTGAACAAACAGCAAAACAAAGACATAGAAATAGAAATTTTCTGGACATATTCAGAAAACTGTGACATGTTTTTGTCTGAACTGGAGCATAGGGTGCATGAAGGGGTTGGCAGGAGATGAGAGGTTGGGCCAGATTCCAGAGGGCTTTGAATGCCCAGGTAAGGGGTTTAGACTCCCATCACAAAATGGCACAATCGGAACTCATTAGAACCATTTCCATGAAGTTTCACCTCTGATAAAATAGCACGTATCAGGTGGCAGGTAGGGGAAGTGTAAAGAGTGGTGCTACATAAGCAGATGCCTGTCCTGCCTGTGAACAGGCCTACAGCCACAGGCACAGAGGTAAACTGATCCTCACAATCAAAGCTGCGGTTTCCAGGAACCAGTTGGCTTCTTTCTTCTGTCCCTGCTCCTAGAGGTGGGATTGTAGGTCCTTGAGAGGATTTGTTCCTAGAAGGCCCTGGCAGCATCAGAATCTGTTCCCTGATTCCATTCTCCTCATCTCCCCAGGGACTTGTCTGCTCTGGGGAGTTTGTATGCACTCAGAGAAAAGGGTGTTACAACAGATTGGGGAAAATCTGCAGCCTGATCTTCTGAAATGATTGGTTTGTGTGTGTGTGTCTCCTCTGCTAGACTAATAGTCCTACATGTCAGGGACTGTTGTATTCATCTCTACACCCTTGGTGTCTAGCATAAGGCCTGATTATACAGCAAGTGTATCAAAGCCATTGTTTATTGAGCATTTACTGTGTGCCAGGCATTGTGCCTAGAAGTCTTAAATGCATTTTCTTGTTTAACCCTCAAACAGCTCTGTAACAGAGCTTCTAAACTATGTATTCAAGTGATGCAGCTCAGAAAGGTTAAGTGACTCACCCCATAGTCACACAGCTAATAACGGTCAGGTTTCAAGTCCACATCTCTCCAACCCCAAAGCACTTGCTCTTAATTGCTGCCTCCTTTTCATTCTAGAGCAGGTGCTCACTTTCAGTTAAAGTAACATAAACAAGAACTTCTTTGGAGTGATTTGTCTCAAAATATAGTTACCCAATACTCTAACTAGCACCTATCAATGAGACCCATAGGATAAGGGGTGGTAAGGACAGAAAAGATGGCCCTGGGGTGTGAAGCTAGAATAATAATAGAAGAATGGAAGCTACAGGGGAGACAGATGTGAACTCAGTAGAAGGAAAAACTTTTCAACAATTAATGAGGCTGGGCATGGTGGCTCTCATCTGTAATCCCAGCACTTTGAGAGGCTGAGACGAGCAGATCATCTGAGGTCAGGAGTTCGAGACCAACCTGGCCAACATAGTGAAATCCCTTCTCTACTAAAAATATAAAATTAGCTGGGCATGGTGGCGCATGCCTGTAATCACAGCTACTTGGGAGGCTGAGGCAAGAGAATTGCTTGAACTCAGGAGGCAGAGGTTGCAGTGAGCCAAGATGGTGCCACTGCACTCCAGCCTGGGCAACAGAGTAAGACTTGGTCTCAAAAAAAAAAATTAATCATGGCCAGCAATAGTGTAGGATGCCTCATGAGGTGGTGAGCTTCCTGTCCTTGGAAATGTATACATTGAATGGTCGGCTGTCTTGGATCATGCCATGAACTTTTGGGGCCACTTCCAGCACCAAATTTCTGTGAAGCAGATTTCAGGAATATAACTTTCTGCTGAGTTCCCCATTGCCACTGTATGTCACCTTTATGTGACACTTACTATGTCTCCACTTACTATGAACCACAGTTATAGAAATTTGCAGTTTTGTGAACAGAATGCCTGGCTCATGAAAAAAATCCAGTCAATGATAGAGGCCACGTCATTACTCTAATCCACAGGGGCCCAACAAATGGCGTTGCTGTTTTCCACATCCAAGTTCTAAACCAATTGAGAAGTAAGACAAAAGAGAAAAGTGTATGGAATCCTAAGGTCATCTTTATTGCCAATTAAGGCCTGGATGGGTTGCATGGACACAGTGGGCTCCATAACACTGAACTTTACACTTTGACAGACTGACACACCCTGTCACAAGTGCTCTAGACCCCACAGGCCGAGAGCAGAGCCTGCCCCCATAAGACTGAGAGCCTGGAACAGAATGTGTGCTTCCAGCTGGCGTCTGGCTCCCAGAAGGGAAGAAGCAGGCAGCATTTGAGCCTCACATGCCCATTTCTTTTATTGAAGCCTCCATTCAGAGGAGTCACTTCTTTTCCCTGGGGAAGAGTGGATGAAGGGATAGCAATAGGCCTGGTCTGTTGCTGCAGGGGGTTCTCTCCACATGGAAGGAAACACTGGGAGTGGGAAATGAGTATCTCCCTGTTGGAAGCAGCCCTCTGTATTGCATGCTTCATTTGTTTACTTTCCTTTCCAGACTGGGATTCGTGAAGCAGAGACATTCCCAACACCCATCCCAGGGCCTGGCACATAGTAGATGTTTAGGAAGGGGAGGAATGAATGAACTCCCATCTTCTAATGCCAGTGTTTTTCTAAAGGAGCAATTTTCTGGGGCTAAAAAGGATGCCTTTTCCCTCTCATTTTATCCTCCTCATTGCACCCAACATGCCTTTATCGTGTTTTCCATGTCCTCTCCCTTTTCTGTATTATGGAGGACAGACAAGGAGTGAGGTATTGCTGGATGATTCAGGGAACATTCTTCCTCAGGTCATGCTGTTCTTCCCACCCTGCCCAGGCCAAGCCCTGTGTATGAACAGGTAAAGGGAGTTGTGGGTGCTGCATGGGAAGAGGCAGCCCTCAGCCCTCGTCCTGATGCCCCATCTGTGATGAATGACAACGCCTGCTTTACCCACCTTGGTGAGACTTGCTGAGAGCAGAATTGGGAAGTCACTTTGGAAAGTGGAAAGTACTTTGTCGGCATAAAGCAGTGGGATCTGTGGAAATGTGTTAGAGGACATTCATGTCAGTAAAGTGGTAAAAGATGGTCCAGACCCCACCAGGGTGGCAGAGGAGGGCAGTGCCTCTACAGGCATTCCCTGGTAGTGTTCCACATGTTTTTTTTGTTTGTTTTTTGGGGGTTTTTTTCCGGTGAAATTGGAGGGTATGTCCCAATGGGAGCTAGATTCCCAGGCTGGCCCACAAAAGCCTGTATGACTCATCACATAATAATATGTGTAAGTATCTACTAAGTTCTAGGTATGTGCTAGACAAATATATCAACTCAGTTCTTACAATAACCCATCAAAGGATAATTGACCCCCTTTTTACGAGCAAAGATGTTGAGACTTATCAAGATCAAATTACTTGCCTAAGGTCATGCAGCTAGTGAGTACTGGAGCTGACCCACAGTCAGGGATCATAAGCATGATGCTATAGCATCCTTCTGGTGGAGGATGGGAAGACTGTGAGCACCAGGGATGGGGAGAGCTGAGGAGCTTGGAGGGACTTCAGATCTTCCATAGAGATCATCTGTAAAGTCAGCTGCTTACAGTCACCTGGCTTTGAGCCACCCCTACCCAGAGAGAGGAGTGGCTTCTTCACTCCCAGCCCTTTCTGAGTTCCAGAAGGAGGTCAGTGCTGGCCTAGAGATGCCAGTCTTGTCTTCAGAGATTCTGGATGAATGAAGCAAACAGGATCCTGACTGAGGCAAGGGGGGTTCTCCAGGGCGCTGGCTCCAGTGTTGGAAGCCCTGTGACTCCAGGCCACTGGCCCAGGGGCATTAATATGCCATCAATGCTGACCCTGAAAATTGGCAATTTTTTGGAAATCTTTCAGCCTAACCAAGGGCCTGACCACTGTAGTCATTCAGTTAGAATTTAATACATGTATATGGAAAGTTGAAAATTTTAGGTACTAGGATGAACATTTGGATATTCAATGCAGGAAGATCTTTTTTCTGTCATTTTTGTTTATCCATACGCCACAGGTTTCATGGACAGGAAACTGAGAGAACAATAGACTTAAGGTTCCATATAGGTGAGAAATACTAAACAGGAATTAGACTTGGTAGAGAATGATTGATGTGCTGTTCACCTTTGGGATTTGTTGCTGCCTTTGGGGATTTAGGGTCTGTCTCTGGAGATGTGTTGCAGTAATTCTCCCTAGCTGAGATTCTACCTATGTTGGAATCAACTTTTGGGGAAATGGTTTTTGTTGTGTCACCAACTTTCAAGTGCCAGCTCCTCTTCCCTGGCAGGGTTCACCCTGTTCCCTCTGTACCCTAGCTCTGGCTGTGCAGAACTAATGGGAGTTAAGGTCATGACTATCCATTATGCATTTATTGGGTGCCAGGTACTGTGCTAAGCCCTTGATCTTCATCACCTCATTTGTCCTCGTGACAGAGGAAGGCTATTATCAGGCCACCATTACCTGACTCCACCACCACCTTTCTCACCACCAGTCTCAGCTCAGCTGTGTCTCCTTCCCGGCCCTTTTAACCTTTGATTAATCTCTCCCTCCTCTGTGTTTTAGTCACACTCATATGTATCCCTGGCATAACACACACATCTTGTGGCACTGTGATAATTGGTCTGTATGTTTACTCATCCATTCTTTTGTTCAACACATTTTATTGAGTGCCTCTTATGTGTTGTCTGTTGCCCTCTTTGGACTTGGAGTTCCTTTACAGCAAGAGACTATGCCTTGTTCTTGCTGTGTTGCCAACACATACCACTGTACCTGGCTCATAGTAGATCCTCAGGAAATATTTGCTAAGAGAAGGCCTCTATGTGAGGTCTAGTCCTAGAACAATCTTCTTTCAGTCCTTCCAGCCCCAGGCATTGGAAAATGGGAAATATGTCCCTTAGCTCTTAGCTTGGTGGAGAAACACAGCTGGGATTCTGGGTGCCTGACTCTCAGTGGTCCACCTTACTGGAGTTACAGTTAACTCCAAAGAGCCAATAATATCAACATCATTTCTCATGAGCTGTGGGTGTTTATTCATTTTTTCAGTAGGTGTTGAACACTTTATAGGTATCAGGCTATGTGCTGGGAGCTAGAGTCACAGAGTTGAATAGGACACACACACACACAAGACCTACAACCTAAAGAGATCATCAGCCTAGATGGAGAGGTGGTCAGTTAAGGTTGAAACGGGTTAAGTACCATGGTTCATTGAGAACACTGCTGGGGAGATTTTTAGGAGAAGGTGAGATTAGAGAAAGCTGCCTAGAGAAGATGTCATTTGATCTGAGCCCTGAAGAGGAGTAGGATTTGGACTTGAGGAAGTAGGTATAAAAAAAATGTCTGTATGAGCAAAGGTATAAAGGTGGTAGGTTGTGTTTTGAGGGAGCACAAATGTCATTCGGATAATTAATTTGTCAGTAATTGGCAAGGTGAAACAAGGGTGACCCTCATTGCCATGGGCATATCACTATGATGTTTTTATTTCCTTCTTCCACTTCTTCCTCTTACTCAAAAAATAGTTCTGCTATTGACACACTTTGTCCCTTAAAGAACAGGGGTGGGAGAACCTTCTGTGGAGTGAAGCCCTGTCCAGACAGTCACATGGGGTTCTTAGTCCTTCAGCCCACACTGCAAATGCACACACTGGGACCCCCTATATAAAGGCCCCTCTACATCTCAGCCATGTGCTGAGAAGGAGCCCACAGAGGCCTCCCAGCCCACCCGTGAGTTTCTAGAAGATGGAGATACTGAAGGCAGCTGCCTCACTCCATCAGCAGGAGGAGGCCAGGGAGGCAGATTAGTCACTCACATCATTTTATCTGTTGAGTCAACATCTATTTTTAGGCATGGAACCCATAAAGGGACCTGGCATGTCTGTCATGGAAAGGGGGAGAGTGCCATGGATGAGGGTTCTGCTCATCCTTCATCTTCTTTGCTAGACCCATTCTCTCCCCTGAAGGTCACAGAAGCAGGGTCCACATTACTGCTGGAGGTTTAGGTCTTAATGTCAAAGGTCTGGTTTAATGTGTTCAATTCCTTTTGCACACATGCTTTTGTGTGCACGCACACACACACACACACACACACACACACACACACACACACACACTCTCACCCCTACAGTCTTAATAGGTCTTATGAATCAGTTGTATGGATTAAATAGAACTTCCAACTGAAAAACGCTAAGGCATATAGGTCTCTTCCTGTCCAACGTTGTCAGATGTGCTCTGAAATGACTGTTTTCATCATCTATTCTGAGCCATAACCACCCCAGAAATAGCTTTAGCAGGAAAGTGCTTTTGTTAGACTAGCTGTAAATTATATTTCAAATGTCTGATGTTGTTTTCTTAAAAAATAAATAAATAAGTAAATGAAAGTCTAAAATTAATGACTGCTGGGGTTTGCTTTGCTTATGTGTACTGCTACAGATTTGGCTTCTTGCAGATGGAATTTCAGATCTGTTTACACTTCTGTGTTAGCTTTTGGGGGGAAGAAAAGCAGTTGAGAGATCTGGGAGGACAAATTTACAAAGTCGAACTTATTATAACCATTGGTGAGGCTCTCTTCTCTCTCTCTACTGCCCTTTCCCTCCCTCCTTTCCATCTTGCCCCCATTTTATTTGTTGTGGTTTTTATCTGCCCTGCTTCAAAGTTAGAGGCGACTGGTCCTTGCAGATGTGACGACAAGGTCACATATCCAGTTTCGCAAGCAGATGTTCATTCAGCCCTATTTCACCAGCACTTTGTCATTTGGTGAGAGCAGACCTCATGGGAACAGACTGGAGCAACACAAAGGATGGAACATAAAAAAATCTTGCAGAGAACCTGATTGCTTTTATGTATTCAGGAAGAAGGGGATGGGGGTAGGGAGGGTGGCAAGGAGAGAAATGTGCAGAGCAGAATTTCATGAGGTTTTTTTTTTTTTTCTGGTTTATTCAAAGATTATTATGTGTTGGATACAGTAAATCATCTATACACCCACTTCCAGGAGGTAAATCTTCAGAACTCCATGTGTGGGTAGCTCTGCATTTAACAGCTGCCATACAGTAGCTATTTTGTTCTGCACTTAGAGACCCTTATCTGTGCATTTGTTTTAAGTTATTGTCAACTCTCCTGTTGTTCCTCTATTGTTGTTCTCCTGGTTCTCATTACTATTACAAGGGTAGCTAAAAATCTGAACTACTGAGTGATTTAAACTGACACCATGAGTTGTAACGGTAGATGAGGGGCTGTCATCTTGGTTGTGGACTCAGCATCTACTCTGAGGGTGATTGCCTATAATGGAATTAGCTCCTCTTGCCTTTTCCTAGGTCTCATATGCCCGTCCGAGCTCTGCCTCAATCAGGGATGCTAACCTCTATGTTAGCGGCCTTCCCAAAACCATGACCCAGAAGGAACTGGAGCAACTTTTCTCGCAATACGGCCGTATCATCACCTCACGAATCCTGGTTGATCAAGTCACAGGTTAAGTGTTTCTTTGTAATTTCTTTCCTTGTATATCAATGTCATCAGCCCTGTTACTCATAAGAGCAGAAGGCTGATGGCTGCTTAAAGCAGATGATATGGATCATGAATAGACAGATTTTTGACTTGGAAGAAAGACTTCTTATCGGTCAACTGCCCAAATTTAAAATGGGCCATCTTGGGAGGTAGGAGTTCTCCATCATGGGACTTGTTTTAGCAGCAGCTAAACTACTTGCCAGGGTTGTAAAAAGGATTCAGGCATCAGGCTGAGAGTGGAACTGTATGACCTTCAAAGTCTGATTCAGCCCTCAACCAAATAACATTACTTTTGTATGTGAAAAGAACCTGTATGCATAGCTGTAACTCCAATTCATAGCATTATAGAGTTAGAAGGAATTGTCCCATTTCACACTTGAGGAAACAGGTTGAAAGTGGGGGATCTGACTCCCCAAAGCTAGTTAGTAGCAGTACAAGGATCTGAACCGAGGATCTGGTACTGGTGTTCTTTGTCCATAATAAAGAAAGGCAGCCACCACCTCTCAGTAAGAAATGTCAGGTACTCTGGGTTGCACTTTTAATGACAAGGTGTTTTCGCCTACCTCCAATTTGATTCCAATTTAGAACTCACCCCCTGAGAATAGTTTAGCACGTTTATCATGTGATTCATGAGACAAACCTTCACAGAAGTCTGCTCTGCCCTAGACATTGTGCAGAGGGACCCTGGAGACCAAGAAAGAAGCAGGCACTGCCCCACCCTTACAGGACTCCAGTGTGGAGTCCAAATACTTGCTAGAAGCTGTCAAGTGCCCCTGAGAGCTCAGGAGAAGGTGTGCCATGCCTGGTGGGAATTGCTAGGAGGGCCCCATTGAGGAGGCAATGTTTGAATAGGAGTTTGGAGGATGTTTCAGAGGTATCCAGCAAAAAGGAGGGACAGAGCAGTGTAAGTGGAGAGGAGAGCATATCCCAAGGCATGGAATCGAGGAAGAACAGTCTATTCGAGGAGGATCAGGCAGTTCAGGGTGGCTGGTGTGAGCCTCAATAGGGAATTTGGGGCCAGATTGCCAGAGGCATTGAATGCTGTGCCAAGAAGTCTGGACTTTATCTGGGTGCAGAATGGAGCCATGGAAGGGTATTTTGTAGGTTTTGTTTGTTTGTTATTCATTTTAGAATGGGAGTCAGTGAAGAATAGGTACTATGCACAAGGTACAAAATTCAAAAAGTACAAAAGAGATACAGAAGATGTTTTTAAAGCATATCATGTGGTCAGAGTTCACTTTTCAAATAGATTGCACACTAGCTACATGTGGAGGACACATGAGAAGACTAGAAACTGGACAGTGAGTGATCAGTTATAGTAACTTTTGGGAGGTGATGATGGGGCAGAGCAGTGATAGAGGACTAGAGGGGCCAGATGCAAGAGAGCCCTGTGTTCTGTGGCTGGGAGGCATCAGTCCAGAGCCATGATAGCAGGAATGCAGGTAAACGTGTTTTGATTGGTGAGAGAGATCAGGGAGCTGGGCTCAGCCCTGGCACCACAGGTGGGCTTACTCCTCACACAATATCCACAGGACCCATCTCTTCCCAAAGATGTTTACCAGTTTGGTGTGTTCACTCTTTACAAAGGCTCTTTCTCTTTCCCCAGGAGTGTCCAGAGGGGTGGGATTCATCCGCTTTGATAAGAGGATTGAGGCAGAAGAAGCCATCAAAGGGCTGAATGGCCAGAAGCCCAGCGGTGCTACGGAACCGATTACTGTGAAGTTTGCCAACAACCCCAGCCAGAAGTCCAGCCAGGCCCTGCTCTCCCAGCTCTACCAGTCCCCCAACCGGCGCTACCCAGGTCCACTTCACCACCAGGCTCAGAGGTTCAGGTAGGCATGCCCAAAGAGGAAGAAGCCCTGCTACAGGGGTTCATAGCTGGGCAAGAGCCAGGGAAGCCCATGGTCCTGACAAATGGGGCAAGGGTAAAAGCTTCCACCCCCAGGAATCACTGTGCAAAACTCCCCCCGAGCCTCAGTTTCCATTCCTGTAAAATGAGACAGTTGGAGCAGATGCCCTTCTAAGCCCTCTTCCAATTTACTACTGTGACTGTATAAACTTTAGATTCTTTGGTAGAAACAAAATGTCTGTATTTAACCAAACATGAAGGTTCAGTTTCAACAAGAGTTAATCACAGATCAGTGACCACATTCAGCAGATTAGACTTAAGGCTGGACAGTGGCTTTTAATAAATTCAAAAAATAGACCATAAGGCAGATCCTTGCCAGAAGGAGTTGTTTTTCCTATCTTCTTTTCCCTCGGCAGGTAACTCTGTTGAGTTCAGGGGAGGGGGAAGTGCCTTTGGTGTTAACCTTATTATGTTAAGTCAGTAGATTCTGGGAAGATAGGGAGGAAGATCCTGTCCAAGCCTGATTAGTGTTTCCTTCAAGTACCCAACCCCCAGGAAGCTCCTGGGGCAGGGGGGCATTGCCCTTCTCCTGGGACTTTTCTAAAAGACAGGTTTCTCTCCATGAAGGCAGTATGACCTTGACTGGTCTCTATTATACAAGAGATAAAAATATGTTTGACTTACCCATGATAAATTCTAAACAATTACTTTATTCCACACCACAGCCCAGCTTCCCTTTGATGAAAATGTTTTTCTCTTTGAGAAACTTCACATGGGAAATAGTAGGTCCTTCTATCTAGGATAGTATGCTCCATCTGGCTACATGAGGAGAAAAATCATCCTCTTTCGTGTCCTCCTATGCCCTGTGAATTTGAAATGGTTAATGATTTCATGAAGAGTCCAAGTCATCTAATTTTTATTTTGCTTGAGAGCACATGCAGTATTTATGTAAAAAGCCTCTCCAGCAGACTTCTAATGGTGGAAACTATCGTTACTACTGCCCTATGGTGTGAATAGCTTGTCCCCAAGTAAGGTAGTGAATGTGAGGAAGATTATAGCGTAATGGCAGTTTGCTGGGAGGTGCTATCAGGCAGTAAACAGTAAGCCACTTTTTAAAAATCTTAACCTGCAAACTCCCCCTGCCTCCCAAAAATGTGTGTAGTAAGATGATTTAGTTAATGTAGCAAGGCTAACAGAAAAGATCTGTTCTGATACATATTGTGTGCCTGTGTATTGTTAATCTGGAACAGAGACCTTTATTTACAAGTTTAATTATAGTAAAAAGGTGAACAATTTAAGAAGCCCCCGCTTTGAACAATTTCACTACAATATAAAACAAAATCCACACAAATGTTCTGAGAGGTGGGGGGAATGGTATTAATTCAGACCTTGAAAGAAAGGGAGACTCATTAGACACTTGCTTTAAACTCTAGCAATGACCTGAACATGAATTACTTGCAGTTAGAGACAGAAAAGGGGGAAACTACCGGTGGATAGACTCCTAAGCAGTGGGGAAAGTTGTTGAGCTTTTCTTCTTTGAAAATGGAGCATTCTTATTAATAGTTCCATTGAGCGATCTTGCCATCTGTGAGGCATTAACCCAGAGACCCTCCTTCTCTTTGCAGGCTGGACAATTTGCTTAATATGGCCTATGGCGTAAAGAGGTAATTAAAACTCCACAGATTGCCAGATGTCCATGTTGGCACAGACTGGGGCTAGAATTTTTTTTTTTTAATTCACTAACTTTACTTTAAAAGAAAAAAATTCTTCCTTTTTCTTCCACCAGCATGTCAAATTCTTAATTTTAATTTCGGACCTCAGTTGATTTTGTTTCTTTTAGGGCACACAAAATGTATTTGTGTGTTTCACTTTTTCTTTTATTTGCAGGTGGGCTTCTCCTATGGTTCAGGTGCCACAGCTACCAAGCCCTTAATAATCTGGTCCTTTGAATGGCTCCCCTAAGGGGAAAGGCTCCGACTCTTTGCTGGCTGGTTTTGCAAACTTGCAGAGCAAACTGTTTTGCATTAGCAATGCCAAGATTCAGTTAAGAGGGCAGATTCCAGCAAATCAGAATTAGAACATTTTGCTAATTGTGGTTGACAATCTTATGATTTTTCAGTAGAAAAATTAGATTTTGGACTACCAGCTCTGGCCAAAGGATAAACAAACACGTGGATGACTTTCTAACTCCTGCCCCCACTTCAGTGTGCATTTCAGAGCACATCCTGAGAATGAAGTGTATCTGTGTGCACCTCAACCAGGGGTTTCTTTTGTTACAGGTTTTAACAGTTCTTATAAATCCTCCCTTGGTTATATGTTATGTGTGTTTTAAACTTGCTGTTCCTGTCACTGAAAGGCTTTTTGTGGGGTTGGGGGCCCAGAGTCAAGGCTTTTGGGGCTCTCTGAATGCAGATTCAAAGTTTTCCAGACCCAGTATGAAATCTGAATCTTGGAAAGTTGGGTGTGTGATGTCACTGTGTCCATGAGATTCCCATATGTGCTTCTGATAAGCTCCACTGCACTGCTAGGGACATAGTGTCTTCATCATCTTGCTCAGTAGAGCTGCACACTTTAATTCCCCTTCCTACAGTCAAGGGAAAGAGATGTAGTCTTTAATAGTCCACATCACACCCCCAGTTCTTTCACTGGCCATCCATGGTAAGTACCCTGACTCTGGGAACTGGTGCATGGTAGAGGAAGTAACCTGACTGCAGACTTCACTATCAGAGGACCGGCCTTTCAAATCTCAATCCCAGCATCAATGAGGATAACTATGAATTATCTCCACATTTCCAGCACACTGTTTGCCTGTTCCCAGGGATTTTACATCTTTCCTAGCTCTATCTCATTCCTTTGCTCCTCTCTGATGTTAGTGAGGTAGTGCTAAATGTTGTGAAAAGAGAAATGCTTATAAATAGATAAGATAGGGGAAGACACAGCTGTAGTAGGCCTGCCACCACCTCCTCCACTGCCCCACCCAGAGTAAACATCACTAGCTGATAATAGCATTCTCTTTTCCTATTGAACCCAGATTTGGATTTAGAACGCTTCCTACCAAAATGCTGCAATTAACTGTCACCAACTAGGATAGAGGCTGTACTTGCAATCTCTTTGCTGGCCCTGACCTTTGACTTATAATAAATACTTAGCTGTTTTCTACCTATAAACAGAAAGAGGTCAGTTCACCAGGGTCAACTCACTTGGTTGGAGGATAGAATATTAAAAAGACAATCTTCAGAAATGATACAAGTTACAAATAGACATGGATTTGCACGTCTAAGGATCTACACCATGATATTTTTTGGCTTTTTCTTGTTAATTGTTTTTAAACAAGAGGGAAGATTGACTTAGTGAATAATAGCAAAAATATTGTCTATTGAGTTGTTATATTTAGCATATATTCAGTAGCCATTTGATTATCCAAATTCTAGTTAGATACAGAACTATTCTTTAATAGGACTTTCAAATCTCCAAGAATATTTGCTTATTTTTAAAAACAGTTGTAGCTCACACTTTACACCATGCTCTTCCCTAGTTTTTGCTTTCTCTCCTTTTCCTATCTCCCCCAGTAAAACCCTGGCCAAATGAAAAGCAAGAAACTATTCAGTGTATAGCATCAAAAATCCGTATATAAGCTCATGCCTGTAATCCCACCATTTTGGGAGGCCAAGGTGGGTGGATCACCTGAGGTCAGAAGTTCAAGACCAGCCTGGCCAACATGGCAAAACCCCGTCTCTACTAAAAATACAAAAAAATTAGTCAGGCATGGTGGTGCGTGCCTGTAGTCTCAGCTACTCAGGAGGCTGAGGCAGGAGAATCACTTGAACCCGGGAGGCAGAGGTTACAATGAGCCAAGATAACGCCACTGCACTCCAGCCTGGGTGACAGAGTGAGACTCCATCTCAAAAAAAAAAGAAAGAAAGAAAGAAAGAAAAAAAAAGAAAAAAGTCCCTATGTAAGTTTGATATGAAACAAAACATTAACAAATATTGTTCTGCTATAGGCACTGGTAACCTAATTGTTTCATCTGGTACATCCCTCACAAATTACACAAGGATTTATTTCATCAGACAGTGAATAGAATTTAAAGGGTCATTTTTTCTTTTCAGGATTGCACAAAAACTGAGAAGATTTCTAAACCTAATACAAAAGCAGTTGTAATAGGGCAAATAACAATTCTATGCTTTTCTAATGTATAGCGATTCAAGATATATAAATGCACAAACCACTTGCAGTCTTGCTTCAGTGATACTTAGGAATAAATTCCAGATAACATAGCATAAAGGAGTAATACATCTTTATTATTATTGCTTGAGTTTGTGGGGGAAACCCTTTTGAATAAATGCTAAATGAAACATGAACCACCCATCTGTTTAATAGCAAGAAAGGCCTGTTCATTGTCACGTATCTCCATCCTCACCAAGAAACATTTGACAACCGTAGGTCAAGGGAGTGCAAAAATGGTAGACTTAAGCACTTTAGGGCCATCTCCTAATCTGCCTTTAAAAAAAAAAACAATGAAATTTCCCAAGCACTGGCCAAAGTGAGTCACTTATTCAACCAATAAATATTTATTGAGCATTTTCTATGTGTCACTATATCTGTGAGATTCCCATATGTGCTCCACTGAATAAACAAATAGAGCCACAGAATGAATGAAATAGACCCTTTCCTCCAAGAGCACATTGTCTATTGTTGGGGTGGGGTGGAGTCGGGGTGGGGTGGAGTCAGGTTGGGGTGCGCTATGAGCATATACTGTGATAGAACTGTTACAGAGCCTTGCTCTGGGAGCCCTGGGAGTCCCTTATGGTTTTTAGAAATTGACCTAGGTCTTTCTCTCAGCATGAACATGCCCTAGCCAGTCAAGCCATTCCCATCAGAGGAAATGACATAGACATTAGTTTTTACATTTTGGTTTTTGAACCCTGAAGACTCTCCTGTAAACACTCACTCAGCCCTCTGCCCCATGTCTGTGTCTGTGCATCTGTGTGTTATCCTTGGTCAGACTGATGTCTGGACCAGTCCCCCCTTCTGCTTGTCCCCCCAGGTTCTCCCCAATTACCATTGATGGAATGACAAGCCTTGTGGGAATGAACATCCCTGGTCACACAGGAACTGGGTGGTGCATCTTTGTCTACAACCTGTCCCCCGATTCCGATGAGAGTGTCCTCTGGCAGCTCTTTGGCCCCTTTGGAGCAGTGAACAACGTAAAGGTGATTCGTGACTTCAACACCAACAAGTGCAAGGGATTCGGCTTTGTCACCATGACCAACTATGATGAGGCGGCCATGGCCATCGCCAGCCTCAACGGGTACCGCCTGGGAGACAGAGTGTTGCAAGTTTCCTTTAAAACCAACAAAGCCCACAAGTCCTGAATTTCCCATTCTTACTTACTAAAATATATATAGAAATATATACGAACAAAACACACGCGCGCACACACACACATACACGAAAGAGAGAGAAACAAACTTTTCAAGGCTTATATTCAACCATGGACTTTATAAGCCAGTGTTGCCTAAGTATTAAAACATTGGATTATCCTGAGGTGTACCAGGAAAGGATTTTATAATGCTTAGAAAAAAAGAAAAAAAAAAAACAAAAAATACCTTTGATGCATTGAATGTTCTTTCATAGCTGTCGTTGTTGAATATAATATACATAGATAGCGATGTGCAGGGATTTTTACCCAGCCAGCTAACTTTACTACCTTCCTTGAAGGTGGATCTTTTTAAGATGACCATTCGCTCATTTGAAGAAGAAAAACAAAAAACAAAAAAAATAATAAAAATAAAACAATTTTTACAAAGTAATGGGATTCAAAGAAAGGAAAAAAAGATTTTTCTTTTTTGTCAAAATATCGATCCAATCAGATTGGTAAAAACCCCCACACAAATTAAAGAGGAATAATAAAAATTGCAAAAATAAAAAAAAACTTTTGCAAATTTTTTTATTTTTCCTTCTTTCTTTTATATCATGTGAACTAAAACAGTCTTCTGTTAGGGGATGGGGGCAAGGGGGATACCTGATGACATTAACAATTTAATAACATTAACATTGTTGCCAAAGAGGTGGTCTCTTTGCTGAAAATGGGTTTCAAGAAAAATCTATTTTTATAAAATATAAAGAATTTTTACAAGAGAATCTGGATTTGAGAAAAAAATATTTTGACTGGCTAATTTAGGGGAAATTGACAACTTTGTCGCGTTCATACTGCACTGGTAACTTTTTAGAGATCAAGATGTGTGTTTTAAACTGGATTCGTAGACTGTTTTTTGAAGGATGGGCTATAAACAGATGATCTTCATATCTTTTCATAGCATGTAATAATAATTAAAAAACAATTATTAATTACTAGGGGAAAGGAGTGTTCGTTCTACCCAGGGTACCACAGTTCCCCACAGTCAAAACCCAAAAGCAAGGAGATGAGTTGAAAGACAGTTTTTCTTTAAGTCATCAGTATGGGATGTCAGCAGAACAAAAATTAAAAAGATTAATTTTCCTTTTGATCTAAAACTTCCTTAGTTTGAGCAGTAGGTGCTACAAAATTATTTACATATCTTAGTATCATAGTTAAATGTAATGTGTTTAGGAGAGGAAAACAAAAGATACATTTGCTTTAAATTCATTAAGAAATTTTCAAATTCACTTTGTAGCCCATGCTGATAGAATTGGGCTGTGTTGGTACATTTGAAACACTGTTTATGTTGCTTGAAACACTTATTTATTTAATCGCCGATGTGATGATGCCTATGGCCGAGATCAAATATAGCTAGATTGGCTAGACTACTTATTTGTTTACTTAAACTATGGGAAGAAGCATATTATTGTGTCATTCTGTTGTGTGTGTATGTGTATATACAATATAAATATATATATATAAAGTTATTTTTTCTTTGGGTTAATTTATTATAAGTTGTAACACTTGGCTAGTTTTGTTTGTATATGTCTTAAAATGTTTTCTTATGATATTTAAGTGACAGTTAAAGAGGTATCAAGGTAACTTGTGTAGAACTATTCTTTGATATATTGTCATGTTTGTTGTGAATATTTTTTCTTACTGCACAGTAGAAAAATAAAAACAACTGAGTCTTTATTTTAATGTAACTCAGATTGGGGAAAACAAAACAGAGCTAAGGGAACAAAATGACTGAGGGAGCACTCTCCCACGTCCAGTGCACTGATCATTTTAGTATGTTTGTGCTTTGTACGGTTATATATTTAAAACGAAAACAAAACAAAAAAATACAAGGGTTCATGCTCTTCCCTGGGTAATAGAAACAGTTACTCGCTATGCATAATCTAGTTGATAGTTAAATTTGCTATTGCTTTTCTTGTCTTGTTATATAAAATCTTTTCAATACAAGTTTAGTCTTAATGGTAATAAAACGTTATGGTTATTTATAACTTGTGCTTATTTTGTGCATTTTTTCCCATGCTGAACCCACTAAGTGCATGTAGACAGGACTGTTGTTTTCACACTGAAAAGGCAAACTTTGTAGTAGTCGTTGTAGTGGTAGACAGATAACGAATACCAAGGCTGCATCATAGACTCCTCCTTTAAATTTTTTTTCTGTTTTTTTTTCCTCTTTTCGGTTTTGGATATAACACCAGATTTCAGTTCAGAGAACACTCGTTCAACATTCAGGGAAAGCTTTTTACGTCACCTGCTATGAATGAACGTAGTTTGCTGGCAAAGTTTTGATGCATTTGCTAAGCATTAGTGGGAAAGGCATGCCAAAATCTTCTCTATAATGTGTTCAATCTTGGGGGAAAAAAAAAGGAAAAAAAATCTTAGGACCAGGCAGTTGTATACTTTAGTTATTAATGAATGACTTCATGTTAATCTTGCTAGTTTAGATGATTTCCAAGGGAAAGTATTGTAAATGTTTTTTTTTCATAATCTTGTTGTGTTTGAATTATTTGTACTTTATCTGTCCAGACAATAAATGAAAGTGTGTAGAATGGATTTGACTTCCCAAATTTTTAAATGTGTTTATTTAAACTTTTTTTCTGTACCATCTTCAGATTTCCCCAATATTTTTATCATTAAACCAGGGAAAAGAAAAGGCAGAGTAAAATTTTATTTTACAGCTTAGCCCAGTCTCTTAAAGTCAGCTCGATATTCAGAAGTCACTGTTCTGGTTCCATGCTATTAAAAGTGTGGTGGTCCCCAACCAGCAGTATCAGCATCATCTGGGAGCTTGTTAGAAATGTAGAATCTGCATTTAACCAGATCCCCAGGTGAATGAATCACTGGTACTTTCAAGTTTAAGGAGCACTGCCCTGGTTCATAAGCCAGAACACTTGGCCTTACCTTTGGTGTTATGATACATTAGCACCTGTTATTCATTTATAAGAAGGCTTGTGACTTGTTCAGAGGACAGGGAGCCACCATTTGCAGAGCACCTATTATGTAACGGGCAGGCTGTATGGTATCCTCTATATTCTCTCACTTTATCCTCAGCAACCCGAGGAGTGTAGACAACCTTATCCTCATTTCACAGATGACAAGACTGAGACTCAATAAGAATAGTAACTTGACACCATAAGCAAATTTCCAGCTGGGATTTGAATCCAAGTCTGATTCCACTGCACAGCACCTCAGCATTAAGGTCGCAGAACTTGAGCATTAAGAAATATTAAGAAAGCAGACCATTTGTATTGAAAGTGACAGCTAAGCAAGAAAGGTCATCTTTTTATTTTAGCACTCATTTCTGTTTAAAAGTAGGAAATATTTGGCTTTCTTACCTTTGAATAGAAACTCAAAACAAGGAATTACTCATAATGTGTCTAAAGAACATGATTTAAGCTCAACCTAGGGAGAAAAATACTGCCTACATTATCATGAAGTCACATTAAAATATGCCCTGAACTTTACAGATTAGCTTTTTAGTGATTTCCTGATACAATCACTCACTGATTATCTACTGTCTTTCATTTTCATTTCCTCACTAACTGAAAATTTATACTCTATAAAACATTGCCATCCATAAACTGACACTTCATGAAATGCCCCCACTGAGCCAGATGAACAAATAGTCAGATTCTCTTCTATTTCTAATTAACCTCTTTTTTATTATTATATTAAGTTACCACATTAGTTGGAATAATTAAATTCAGGGCAAAGAATGAGATTTAATTAACCAAGCTAAATATTAAACTTCTAAGTCAGGCTAAACCTCATATAGTTGAACTTAAAGGTTCTTATTATAGTTTTATCTTAAAGACAAGTCCCTACGTTTCTTTTCTGGAGAAAAAAAAAATGGACATTCAAAAGAACAGTTTCCTACAGGGATAACACAGCTTTACAACCGTGTTTGTAGGTCTAAAAATGTTGCTGCCAAACCTATGATAGTTGCCAGTCATCACCACCCCTGCTCCTTAAAGGTGCCATTTTAGTGTACTTTAAATGGACGGCTGCATTATTTTGGAATATCCAAAGTTAGTAGAATCTTCCCAGTTCATAAAGTTCATTCACTAGCCTCCTCCTACAGATCTATGCAGAAAGTTTTACAAATAGATGTAGGTATTTAAATAGGTCTTGACAATGTCCATAGAAGACATTCTGCATATACTCTCTCAGAAACACTTTCTAGCATCAGCACAATGTGTCTGCCTAACATCTAATAAAAAATTCATCTTGTTGCGAATATAAGCCTGTTACCTTAAATCTCCAGGCAAACATATATAGTTTCTGTAGGTGTTTGTGGAAAACGTCTAACAAATCACAAGAATACTGAGATTATTACATTTCTTTGAGGTCCTAGGTACATTGTATTTTGCTTGGTTGAAAAATTGCATGTCATAGAAAGCTGACGGCATTTACTTAGTGTTATTTTTGTCAACGTGATAGGAGGAGTGAAAAAAATGTGTTTGTGTCTAAAACCACCCCACATCATCACCATCAACATCAAAACTTTACTTACTTCTATTACCGAAGATCAAACACTGACCAAATGATGGTTACTGCCAGAAATTTTGATCACCTGGGGTCCTGTTTATCAAGATCAATCAACCTTTGTTCATTTGTAAATAAAACATTTTAACCCCCAAAGAATAACATTTAAATGTACGTTTGAAACTCACAAGGTCTTGTGGCGCCCATACTCTCCTTGAGTCACTATTTGGGTGTAGATACTTTTAACCTTGTCAAAATGCAGCACACAATTTCCTTTGCCATAGGTAATTCCGGAAACTCCCAGTCCTTGAAATTATTTTGCCCTTACTTCCTGTAGGCACTATGCATTTGTTCCTTAACAGACACACACAGGCAAACATACAAGGCAAGTATTTGTATAATTATGAATTTTTTAACTTTCATCTGTGAATTCAAAAATGATACCTGATAAGATAGCGTTAACAGCAAGAGTGTGTTTTCTAAACCAAAGAGTCATTAAAATCTTAATTTGAGGCCATCCTGCCTGGATCCTTCCACAGCCTTCATGAAAGCTCACAGAACACAGCTTCTAATATCCTTGCACCCTTGACTGCCTTTGTTCTACCTGAAGAAGAGAATAATAAAAGGAAATTACATTTTATTTCCATGAGCTGAAATCAAGTTTTAATATTGTCCAGAAATGACTCGTACCATTCCCTTATCTTATTAGCTTTTTGGCGTATTAGGTAATAAGATAATTTCTCATGGTACAGTATTTATGTAAGAATCATATTTCTCTCTGTGCAGATCACTTACAGAAGTGTCTGTTAACAGGAGAGAATGATACATAATCAGCACTTAAGATTAAAATAGACCTGAGAACATAAAAGTGTTCCTTCAATTAAAGGAATAGCGTTTTTCCCGTCTCATCCTTTTTGTTTCTGCAACAGAATGAAAACTGGTTTAAAATCACCCAACCCCAGGTTAATTCCCAGAAGGCTTTTCTATGCGAGTTCAGCTTAATCTACTAGTGGTTCAAATGCAAAGTGGACTCACATGACATTCCAGTATGCCATGTAATTATTTCAAACAATTTTCGGCAAGGTCCCTAAGGTTTAAGAAATTGTTTCTAGAAAGACCACTGGCATTTATTAAGTTTTTCCTATGGCAGGCACTCTATATGTATATAGCGTTAGTGAGGGGTATCATCCCCCTTTTACATTGAACAGAAAGAAACTCAGAGAGATTAGGTATTTTGTGAAGGTGTGTAAGTACCAGGTCTGTCTGATCCCCAAGATCCCCAGTTACACACCGTGGCTCCAAGTCCATTATGCTAGAATTAGAGCCAAAATAATTACCACATGGTCCACACTTCAACTAAAGGTGAGATGAGTCCTATTATGTAGGAAATAAAGGAAATTACATTCATGTACTGTGCCTGAGTCTAACCCTCTCCCCAAATCTTTAATGGAAAAACAGACCAAATATCAATGGTTTACAAGCAAATTAACAAAGAATAACTAAAAGTGATAGTTTTTAAGCACTGTTGCTCTGCAGTATTTAAAAATGAAATTAGTTTGTTAATAGGTCTATTTTAACCACCACAAATCATTGAGGTAGAAAGGAGTTGAGGATAGGACAGACAGGTAAGAATGTTAACAAGCCAACTTAAGGACCATCAGAGCTGGCCCCATGGGTCTCCCCAAGTGATAGCTCCCACTATGACACACAGATGGGTCCATTGTGTGGACCAATAGCACCATAGTGGCCACTCCTTTCACTATCTGTATTGCCTCTGAATCCTCAGAACAATCCTGGGAAGCATATAAAGTAATCCTCATTTTACATCTAACAAAAACAGAGAAGTTAAATACCTTGCCTAAGGTTACACAGCATGTTGCAGAGTGGGAATTTGCACAAAAGTCATCCGGTTCCAATACAATGTCTTTCTGCTAAACCATATTGCTGGCTTTCAATGTGACACCATTTGTTGATCATCTGCCTAGGTGTGAGGTATGGCAGGGTGGGGGTTGAGGGGAATCAGTCTAAGCCTTGTCTACACTAGAATCCTTACTCTGAACCCCTGCCATATGCCAGATACTGAGCTAGGGGCACGGCAACAAATAAACATGTCTAGCTTCTTTTTTTTTTTTTTTTTTGGTATACCTGTTTTGTGCATGAAATTGTGCAGTGGGTTATGACAGAAAACCAAAAAAGCAGGAAAGGAAATTTAGAGTTCTATTACGAAGACAAGACCTGTGGAGCAATGATCTGGCCACAGAGATGTAGCACAGGTAACTTTTGTGTTGGAGGGAGAATTTCAGATTGTGAAAATCTGTGGGGAATGCAAGGAGTATTCTGGGATCCAGGAAGGAAGGAGAGTTTGCCCTGATGGAAAGAGGACTAGCTTTAGTGAAAAAGTTCTGGGTTTGGGTCCCTGGGACAAAAATTTAATGTCTCTGAAATTCCTGATCAGAGAAGGGAGGATTAGAAGTAAAATATGCCAAGTTCCTGGCACTGACTGAAGAGTAGCAGGAATTAAACAATAGCCAGAAAGAGTTCCCAGAAGAAGAAAACTTTGGCCAGGCCCTTTGGCAGGGAGAGGTGGGTTTAGTGGATGCCCCTGAATGTAAAGAACCAAGAAATCCTGTTTGGTCACTTCAAGTGAGGGAGGGAAGAAATAGTAGGAATACACGTGGGAATAAGTTGCTGGGAATCTCACTTGGCCTCATGGAACTTAAGCTGCTTTTGAAATACAGTAACTCCAGCCACTTGGCAGCAAAAGCTCTGATTGCCCTCAGCAACCAGAGGCCCTATTGGTCCCTCCTCTGGTGTCTGGCCATTACAGTGACTCAGCCACTCCATCTCATTCACCCCTGAGAATTAGACCGCTGGGAGCATCATGGAAGAGTCACAGAGACTTCCCCTCAGGGTAAAGGAGTGGAGGCCACACTAAGGAGCTTAGGTGGGCAGCAGTGGAAAGGGAGAGCACAGGAATAAGAGGAAAAGGGTTGGTCATGCAGGCTGAGGCAGGAAACATCTTTAGGAAAGCAGAGTACCAGAAGGCTTTTGAGCAAGGAAGTGAGGGCCCTTCGTTCATAAATATCTGGTAAAGGGCAAATATCTCCAAGCCCTACTCCTCTTGGCTGTAGGAATAAGAAAGAGTCAAAAGTTCAGTCTCAGCCAAGATGGGAAATGAATCCAATTAAACCATTTGTAAAGGGTAGTCCTCCCCTGCTTGTCACACAATCAGCCTTGTCATTGCCTGGTTACTTAGCTCTGGAAAGCCCTTGAAAGTCAGTTCAACTTCCTCATTTGAATCCTTGGGAGAAAAAGGGTTTTGACTTGTCCTGCCTTCACTTCACCCTATGTAACTAGTTTTCATCTTATTCCACAAATATTAGGGTTCTTCCCCTTAAAATGCCCTTTCCTCCACTCCAAACCCACATTTTTCTCAAAGCATGCATGCACCACCCACCTGGCTAATCCTGCTTGTTCAGCTCAGGATTCACTGCCTCCTGGAAACCTTTCTTGACCCTGGCTGGGTTAAGGATTCCTTGATAATCCCACATCCCTCTGCTTTCCTGTATCACAGCATACTCACATACCATATTTGTACTGCTGCATGCAGCCTCCATGGGGACAGAGGAATCAGGCATGGTGCCTGCGCTGGAAAAGCTCAGGTGTAAGCAGAGTATAGAAGGGCAAGAGCAAAGCTGCAGGGTATTTGGGGAGCATAGAGAAAAGAGCAGTCAATTCTAAATTTGTGGGGTGAGGTAAGGTTGAACTGTAACATGAAAGGAATCCTAGACATGTTTAGGAATCAGCTGTCTCATGAAGGATAGAACAGACTTGGACGGGTAGGCACTGGAGTGAGGCAAGGAGCATCCCACTGGGAACAATGGAAGTGATCCAGGACCAGGAGTCAGAATCCTCAGCTCTGCCCCTGACTTGCTGTGTAGTGTTGGGCAAGTCACTGCCCCTCTCAATTTCCCAGAAGTTAAAGGAAGGTGTGGGATGAGATGGTCTCTGATGGTCTTCCTCCTGCTGACTCCTAGACATTCTTCTGCCCCTACATTTTTCATAGGGTCAGCAAGTATTTATTGGCCACCTATTATGTGTTACTGAGGAAACAATGAGAGGATGAAAAGCAGCTATATACAGCTGAGGTGAGTGCTGTCAAGGTCAAGTACAGGCTGTTCTGACAGTGAGCAACAACACCTGCCTGGCTGAGGAGGAGGAACACCCTTTCTCAGACAGTGGCATTTGAGCAAAGATCTGAAGGATGAGGACAGTGTGTCCCATCCCAGGCCAGGGGAACAGCATGGGCAAAGGGCCAGAGTAGACGGCAGCAATGTTCAGCTGAGGGACTGAGAGGAACCCAGTGACTCAGCAGTGGAGAGGGGAATGGGGCTGATGGTAGCAGGGACCAGATTATCAAGGGTCTTGCAAGCCACAGAAAGGACTTTGATCCTTAAGAGTAATGGGGAGTGCCTACATTTCAGCCAATGGATTCTCTTCTCTCAACCTCAGTTTACTCATAGTGATGAGTAATAATAAATAATAAACCCCCTCTCATATATCTAACCTATATATTTATATCTTTCAATCTATCATCTCCTGTCGGTTCTTTTTCTCTGGAGAACCTTGACTATTACACTTATCTGTAAAATAGAGATGACTGATAACAGTACTTATAAGGCCTCTTATAAGGGCCTTATTCAGTGTTGAGAGGGTCAAATGCATTAATATGTGTTAAGTGCTTAAAACACTACCTGGCAGATAGTAATAACTATATAAATGTTTGCTATTACTATAGCTATCATTCTTAATATTAATCTGACTAATTCTTACACATGCCTCAAAATTCAACATGAATATCCTCTCCCCGGAGCTCATTCCTCAACCTCTCAGACCAAGTTATGAACCATTTCTCTGTGTTCCCAAAGTCCTCTCTTACCCTGTAGAATAGTTTATTGTCTACCTCTATGCCTTCTCCCCTAAACCATAAGCTCATCAATGGCAAGAACTGTGCCCTATTCATCAGTACAAGATTGTTCACAAAAAGAATGCCAGTGAAGGTGTGCAGCTGTGGTAGGCTGAATAATGGCCCCCTAAAAATGTCCACATTCTAATCCCAGGGCATGTGAATATGGTATCTGTCTTAGTCTATTTGTGTTGCAGGACTTTTCCTTAGTTCAGCTAAAGACAGGGTTCTTTGTCCCACAGCCATGAAAATTCAGGTTGGCAGACAATTTCGATGGTGAGTAAGACAGGGTTTTATTGGGTGAAGTGGAAGTAAAGGGGGCACAGGGACTCTCACAAGGCCAGAGTCCCTGCTAGAGCACTTCCCACCTGGCCATTTGAATCCCGGGTCCCACACAGGAAGAGGAGGGGCCAGGCTCTTCCCCGCTGCAAATGTCGGGAACTTCCCCAGGCTCCTCCTCAAATGGGCAGGCTGGATAGAGTTTCTCCACGGACCTCCTCTCACCTGGCTGTCTCATTTGGGCTGCTATAACAAAACAACTTACAATGGATAATTTACAAACAACAGAAATGTAGGGCTCACATTTCTGGAGTCTGGAAAGTCCAAGGTCAAAGCACTAGTAGATTTGATGTTTGGTGAGGATTTGCTGTCTGTCTCATAGTTGTCACCTTCTTACTGTGTCCTCACATGGTAGAAGGGGTGACCAAGCTCCCTCAGGCCTCTCTTATAAAGGCACTAATACCAGTCAGAAGGGTGGACCCCTCATGATCTACTCACCTCCCAAAGTTCCCACCTCTTAATAATACAACATTAGGGATTAGGTTTACATTTACTAATTTTGAAGGAACATACACATTCAGACCATTGCTTTACCTTAAATGGTTAAAGGGACTTTACAAATGTAATTCAGTTAAGGATCTTAAGGGGAGATTATTGTGGATTATCCAGGTGGATATATATATAAATGTTTGCTATTACTATTGCTATCATTCTTATTATTCATCTGGCTAATTCTTACACATACCTCAAAATTCAACATGAATATCCTCCCCCCTGGAGCTCCTTCCTCTACCTCTCAGACCAGGTTAGGTACCATTTCCAGGATTCCCCAGTGTAATCACAAGAATCCTTTTAAAAGGGAGGTGGGAGGATTCAGAGTCAGTAGTAGGAGAAGCAACAATGGAACCAGAAGACTGTAGTAATGCGAAGAAGGACCCATAAGCAAAGGAATGCATTCGGCCTCTAGAAGCTGAAAAAGGTAAGAAAATTGACTTTTTTTCCTGAAACCTCCAGAAGGAACACAGCCCATCTAACACCTTGACTTTAAACCTCTGACCTTCAGAACTATAAGAAAATAAGTTTACATTGTTTAAGCCACTACATTTGTGGTAAGTTTTTATAGGAGTAATAGAAAACTAATACATCAGCCAAGCATAAAGCAGGAGTTAGAAAAAGGATAGTTGTGTGGAGAAGCCAATGTTCAGTCCAGACCCTCCCTGGCTCCTGGCATCGGTGAGAATAGGAACAGAGTTAATGGTGGCCACTGTATCTACCCTCTTAGCACACGCTGACCACTCTGGGCCCTCAGGAAGCAAGCTACCACCACCATATTAACATCATCATTCCTGGATCTCATGGACTTGGTGGATGGTGGAGGGGGAGAAAAATCAGTGGGTCCAAAGATATCAGTGAACTGTCATGCTGGGCTCCAGAAGAGACAATATGGAATGTAAATTAGGTTAATAGAACAGTGGCCTGGGAGATCTAGGTTCCTGACCCAGTTCCTGGGTTCAGTTTTGCATATGATTCTGAACAAATTATATACTCCATACTTGCTCCTTCTCTTATGTTCCACATCTCAATTAATTGTGGGAAACCCAGGAGTATTCCTAAACTCCCTCCCCTCCCCTCAACCATCTAATCAATTACCAAACCCTAACAATTTTAATTCTCCTGAAAATTTCTCAAATTCATCCCCTCCTCCCCTCTTTATTGCCACTATCCTGATTTAAGTCTTATCACCTCATTCACAGGCTATTAACTGAATCCCTTCTATGTACAAGGATTCAGACACTATCCTTATACGAGACCTTTCCTCCTCACCTTCTGCAACTCCACCCACCCCCTCCGTCAGGACAATCTATCTAAAACACTCATCTGGCCAAATCATTGGCCCACCTAAATCCCATCAGTGAATTCCTGTTACCCAGGTGATACAGTCCAGACTCCTGAGCATGACTTACAAGACCCTGTATCATCTAGGCTCTGGCGGCTTAACCAGCCTCATCCCCTTCCTCTTCCTGCCTCACAGTTTGTGGTCCAGCTCTGCAAAATTACTACCTGTTCCCCGAATACAACACAGTGCTTGTCACAGGCCTACTCCTATTAACTCTCTTCTTCCTTACTAACAGAATCCTGATTTTTTTAGGGCAACAAAATGTCTAGCTACAAAACATCTTTCACATCACACAGCTCTGGCCAATGAGAAGTAAGAAGTCCCTTGTGAGTCTTCTAGGAAAGCTCCCTAAATGGGAGCAAACTCAACTGGCACACTGTTTTCCCTTTGCCATTGCCTTCTTTTCCCTCTCCATTCTTCCCATTTGGAATGCTGGTGTGATATCTAAAGCTGCATGTGCCATATTGCAACTATGAAGGAACAGACAAAAACCATGAATGGCAGACTAGAAACACCTGGAAAGCCTATGCCCTCAATGGTGTCCCTAGGCTGCAATAGCCCCTGGATTATCTCCTCTGAACATCTTATTATTTGAGAAAAATACACTCCTTACTGAAGAGCTTCCCAACAAATGAACACATTCTTTATTAATGTGCTTAATTTATTTCTTCAACCCTCTGATCAGACAGGTGGGGCCCTGTGCTGTTAGAGTCCCCAAGCCATTCATCTCTGGCCCCAAACAGCCCATCCCTCTACCCTGCTGGGCCATACAAACATTTTCGTGTGTGTACTGCTGTGTAACAAAATGTTACACAACTCTCTCTCTCTGGTTCAAAGTCTGATTATTGCTCTATCCCACTTGACCATTGCCTATGCACTGAGATTTCCAACGTTCCTCCACGTGTCTCCACTGCCAGAAGCTCCATAACCACCTGCCTCCAGATTTTCATCAAATTATTGCTGCCTGCATTAGTCTGCCATGCATCTAAGACTCCTCTTGGGCCACCCATCCAGTAGCACTGATCTATCTTTGACCCCCAGTGCTCCTTGGAGCCTCAGTTCCTGCCATCATACTGACTACAATATCTCAACATCTTTGCCCACCTCCACATCTCTAGAGCTCCTGTCTCTCTCCCCAACTCTCCAACCCGCCCTCTTGCTCTCTCACTCTTGCTTGTCATCAAAGATCCACCTTTCCTTTCTTTTATCCCATTTTGATAAGGAAGGAACAGTTCTACCACAGAGTTGCTTGGATCCCTAATGACTCAGTAAAATATATATTTGCTGGCAGGGCCCGGTCAGAGAAGGCTAAAAAGAGCTTTACACTATGCCTACAAATAGTGCTCTTTAGCCCTGAACCCATTTGCTACTGTGGTCCTCAGTGCTAGACTTTCTCCTCACCTAATTTTTTTTTCCCAGGAGTCCCCATTATCCTTATTATAATCTGGATTCCCATGCAATGCCCCTGTCCCCATGACCTCAATACCCATCAAATAGGCTTATATATGCCTCATCCTCCAATATGAACCATCCACGTTCTTACTCACGGGGTCTATGCCAACCCAGGGATGTAGCTAGACATGAGAGGGCATGAAATGTACATAGAGTCCTGAGCTTCCTGCTACTGAATGAATAATTAAATTCTCCAAGTCTCAGTTTCCCCAACAGTAAATGTAATAGCAGGACTACCTGGTCTCAGTTTCATCAGCCTGACACCAGGAGGAACCCCAGGGACAAGCTTGAGGCCCCAGAGTACTTTAGAACCAGTATAGAAGCCAGGATAGAAGGAGAAATGAGGGGGAGAGGAAGTTTTCAATCAGGTGCTGGGCTTTCACTGCCAAAAAATTTCCCACAAACAAACCCACCCCAGCAAAGGAAGCTACTGTTGGCTGGCATGCTGCAGAAAAGAAGGCGGGCATGAGGCCTCATTAATCCGGCGGCTGTGGGATCAGTTGCAGATACCCCCCAGCCCACCCACTTTTTGCCATCTGCTGCTGCTGCCGCTGAGCCAAACGTATGCAGCTCTGGTGGGAGCCCAGCCGGAAGCCAGAAGAGGGGCCCAGACCCTTGTGTATGGGGCAATCCCAGCAGCAGGGACCTTTGAGCCCAGGCTCCTGACGCAGCTGTGTCTCCCAACCCCACCCCCATCCCCCATGCAATGCTGCAACACTCCACAAGTTGGAAGCCGCTGAGGGAGAAGTCCCAGGGCCCTGAACAAATATTAGACAAATAACTGACTAAACTGCATTGATTGAGAATTCACTGTGTGCCAGACACATACCTTATATCCCATAAATACTATCCCAAACCACACAAAGATTTCAAAACTACATCTGTCATAATTCTTGATGATTTCAATATGCACAAAGACAATCTTTCCAACACCTCGGCTCCTCAACCTACACTCCTCCTTCCACCGCAGTTACTCCCTTCCTGCTCCTCCCGTAGGGCTTAATAGCTTAATTTCAATGGCAAGCATCCTCTTGTCAATACCTACTTCCTATCTCACTCCCTTTACTATCCTGACTCAAAATAACCCTTCAACCCTCCTGGGACCTTCAACTCACTTTTACTGTCCCTCACCACCACCATGTCCTCACTTCCCTTTCTACCCTGTTTAAATTCCATATAAAACATATCATCCTTCCCTTGTGTACACTTTCATTTTCCTCACCCCTCCCTCAGTTCATTGTATTCTTTTGTTTCAACCAAAGCTCTCCATCTACTGTGTACCTGCACCCTCACGGCTGAACATGCACTGCAAGAGAAAAACACATATTCATGCTGACCAGACTCCCTTTACGTTAGTGACCAGCAGCCTTGCGTGGGCCCTAAAACTGCCTGAAGCTCACACTGTATTTCTCTAGTTCAATCACTCTCCCTCTCCCCTAGATGGTATTTTCCTACTTTCTCCTCTTTCTTCGAACCTCTAACACCTCCCTCATCTCCCTCATCTTCATTCTCAACTGAAGACCCAGCTTCCTATTTCACTGGAAATTGAAGTAATGAGAAGAGAACTCCCACTAGCCCCCTGCTCCCCCTTCTCTCCTGTTACCATGGATGAGCTGTCCATTGCTCTTCTACCTGTGTGTTAAATCCCACCCCTCACCAACTCAAGAACATAGATCCAGCAGTTCTCCTCTCTTATCCTGCATCGTTAGATTATTCCCTCTCTACTGAGTCATTCCCATAAGCATACAAACATACTTTTACTTCTCCCATCTTAAAAAAAAAACTCGCTCTTTACCGTAACTCCTATTATTACCCCATTTCTCATTTTCCCTCAGCAAGAAAACTTCTTAAAGTATAGTGATATTCACTGCCCAATTTCTCTTTTCCCATTCTCCCTTGAACTTTAGTAAGATCTGCTTCCCCACTACTCTTCCCAAACTGCTCTTGTCAAAGTCACCAGTGATCTCCCCATTGCCAAATCCAAATGGCAAGTCTCAGTCCTCGTGGTACTCAATCTTGCAACTGTATTTGTCTCAGCCAATCACCTTCTCCTCCTTGAAAAGTCTTCTTTACTTGCCTTCCGGGACTCCCCATTTGGCATATTTTCTTCCTACCTTTCTGGCCATCCCACAGTCACCTCCTCTGTTTGACCTCTAACTGTTGGAGACTGAGTTCTAGGAATTCTTCTCTAACTACAGTCACTCCCCATGGTCACTCATCTAATGTCGTGGCTTTCAATACAATTAATGTTCTAATGACTTCTAAATATATTTCTAGCACAGACCTATCTCCTGAACTCTGGAGACATATGTTCTACTGTCTAGTATACATTTCCACCTGGCTACCTAAAGGACATCTCAAACTTGCCCCCCACCCCCACAAAAAAAACCCACCCAATTTCTTTTTGCCCTTTCCAGCCAACCTGCTCTCTCCATCTCAACAAATGGAAGCATTATCTTCTCAGTCACTCAGGCCAAATCTCTTAGAGTCACACTTACTTCCATTTTTTCCTACTATTCTCTAAAAAGTCTCCCCATTGTGTACAGATTTGTATCTATTTTGCTTACTATTATAACTTCAGCTCCTAAAAGAGTGCCTAGCCCTTAGTAGGTACTCAATAAATATTTGCCAAATAAAGGTATAACTAAATTAATCAGCTGTTCATTGAATAAATAAAATAATTATTACAGATTGTGATAAGGGATAAGAAAAATGTGCTATGGAATAAGATAACTGAGAGGTTCTACTTAGAAAACAACAGAGGGGTTCTCTTTTCCCTGAGGAAATGACTTTGAAATGAGACGGAATGAGACATTGTGGAAAGAGCCAGGAAAAGAACATTGATGTAAAGGCCCAGAGGTAGGTATGAGCTTAATGGGTTCTAGGAAACAACAGATGGCCAGCGTGGCAAAAGAACCGAGAGAGAAGGGAGAAAGGTACTGGGAGACATCGGGGAGCTGGAGAAGTAAGCAGGAGCGAAGTCATGAAGAGTCTTGAATGCCAAGTGTGGTCATTTTTGCATTCAGCACAGAGATGAGGCCCAGAAAGCCTCAGGAGAGGGAGAGGGTGGGGTGAAATTTAAAGGCCAAGGGAGGGCCACCAGAGACTCCTCCAGATTCCAAGGTCTGCACCTCCTGCTATATAGAAAGCCAAGGACTAGAGTGGCTCACTCTCTTGGTCCACCCCAGGGTTTTATTGTGGGTTTGACAAAACTAACCAACTAAAACTCCAACTAAAAGCGGAGTGGATTGGTTATTCAAACTTAGCTATAAATCTAGTAACTGCTTGTATTTACCTCATGTCACATAGTTTAACTGTCTCTATGGGTGCCCCAGAGGACAGACACTATCTGTGGTTGAAATATGTCTCTCTCTGCAAACCATAATTCTAGGCCCTCCTAAGCTCAGGCCTTGCAAGAATCTCTACTGCCCAACAAGTCCCTACAAGATGGCATTTAAAAGCAGTCCCTCACGCACTGCAAACCTTGAGTGATAATATGGAACTTATAGCAATGGGCATTCTATCCCCATCCTCTGACTTTAGGACAGGGACTAGAATCTAGCACAGAGCACTCAGTGGGTACTTAAAAATGTCTGTTCAATTGAATAATAGGAAGGAATAAATTCAACATCAGTGAGAGCTGCATGGGTAACAATGAGTGAATGAATGAAACCCTTTAGCCTCTCTCACTTGCCTGTCTTCTTATAGAAGGTTCAAACCTCTTCCATCTTAAAAACAAACAAAAGACCACCTTGCTGGATCTCCAGCTCTTCCTTCTAGACTTCTCCTGGAAAACTTCTCTCTCAAATTCCTTTATAGACAGTTTCTTGGGTGTCTATACTTACCTTTTGTGGGAAATTTTACCCAATCCCATGACTATAAGTACAGTTTGTATTCTGATGCACAAATCTGTATCTTCAGCCTCAACCTTTGAACCTATGTTTCTGGTATCCATTAGACCTCTTCAACTGGATGTCAACAGGTACTTTTGGACATGTCAACTTGACATGTCCAAAACAGAACTTAGTATCTTCCCCCTGAAATCTGCCTCCTGAGGTGTTCTCATGTCAGGGACTGTCACCTTCAATTATCCCCATTTTATCTGGGTTTTGCCCTTGACTCCCCATTCTCCCTTATCATACACATCCCACCAAATAGTAAGAATTTCTAGATTCTAAATCTTGTCTCTGAAATGTCAGTTGTCCTTGGATTCTTTCTGTAGGGGGCGTTGTCACCAAGGGTGGCCCCAAACTGTGTGAAGGATAGAGAGATCAGCCAGAAGCTCCTGGGAGCCTGAAGGGAAGGAGAGTCCAGTGGCCCAGCAGCGCTTGGTCCTTACTGTGAGCCTTCTCAGAAATTCTCTCTACAGCAGTGACTCATGGTGGTGAGACATGTCCCAAAGAGTTAAATAAACCAAAGACTAACAGAAATTCTTAGTTTTCAGGATGGCAGATAAGAAAAGAAACAACCTGTCAAAAAATACTGAAACTCCCTCCTCTTATGAGATGAAAGAACAGACTGAAATCAGTTGGAAACAAGATGCCCAACTGGAGCTTGCGCAGAGCGACCTTGCTGACATCACAGCCACCACATTTCATACCAACTCCTCCCGAATTTGCACATGCAACCCATGAGTTAGCATGAAGACATAATTGTGCATGCCCAAGGAATTTCCCGACCTCCCTTTTCCTTCCACCGATCACCTACTTGCTAATCTCAGAATCCACCCCCTTGAGCCTTTTCTAGTAAAAATACTGCCTTAAAGCCAGCACAGGGAGACAGGTTTGGGCTTGACTCCTATCTCCTTGGGAGTCAACTCTCAATACAAAGCTTTTCTTTTCTCAAAAAAAGTCGATGTCATAGTATTGGCTTCCAACACATCGGGCAGCAAGCCCCTTTTGTTTTATAACAGTGGCACCTCTACCATCCCTCTTCACCTCCACCAGTGTAAGTTCTGGTCAGAAACCCATGGAGATGATGTCTTGGGAAAAGCATGAGGGAGTTCACAAATACTTTGGAGGAGGCAAAGGTAAATATGAGCAGCCCAGAAAAAAGAAAATCAAGATGAACAGAGAGAAAAGGACTAGGGATGAAGTGGCTCCCTGAGGATGACCCCAAGTGTGCAAGTGCTAAGATGGAAGTCCCATAGCATCTCCCGGCTAGGGTTTGTTATCCTGCAGATGAGATGGAGGTGGAGCACCAAAGTGAATGAGTGACTTCACAGTAACACCTTCTCTCTTTCTTCATCTCCCACATCTAATTCATCAACCCATCAGCAAACTACCTTTAAAACTAACCCCAAATCTGACCACTTCTCACTGCCTGTCCCACCACTACTGTTGTTTTATACATATATATATAGTTTTATACATATATAGGTGTATATATATAGATGTATATATATAGATGTATATATAGATGTATATATATAGATGTGTGTGTATATATATATGTGTGTGTATATATATATATATATATATATATATATATATATATATATACACAGAGAGAAAGAGAGGCAGAGAGAGAGAGTCTGTTTGCCACAGTAGAAACTAAGCTGCATTGGAATGGGACCTTGATCTTGTTCACTGCTTTATTCCCATTAGCCAGTGGGGTAAAATGGCTGCTGCATAGTTGAGGATCAATAAAATTTTTACTAAATAAATGAATATAAATGGGTAGATTGATGGATGGTTGACTGAATGAACCAGAGAGACTGTATCTTCAGCCTCAACCTTTGAACCTATGTTTCTGGTATCCATTAGACCTCTTCAACTGGATGTCAACAGGTACTTTTGGACATGTCAACTTGACATGTCCAAAACAGAACTTAGTATCTTCCCCCTGAAATCTGACTGAGTGTATATCAGTCAGAATTAGCTAGGTCATGCTACAATAACAAATAACTCCAGAGTCTTGATGACTTAAAACAACAAAGGTGCATTTCTCATGAGATATCCATTGTGGATCACCAGGGAGGCCTTGCTCATTGCAGTCACTCAGGCACCCAGGATTATGGAGGCTTTATCTTGACTGACAGTGGCTTTCACCACAGCAGGGGAAAGAGAACAATCTTGCACTGGTTCTTAAAGCTACCTTCTGCAGGTATTACTTCCAGTCATGTAACTAGCTAAAGTAAGTCATATGGGCATGCCTAAATACAAGGGAGCAGAAACGTGCCTGAAAGGGGAAGATAAGTGAGATCCCTGTGGACAACCTTATGATTACCACAGAGTGAGTGGGTCATATCCATGGAGAGGCATGTGTGCGATATGCAACTAGTGTCAATGATAGTGGAATGAATCTGCATGCAACTCCAGGGGAAATCAGTAAATGCTTACAAGAGTATGCTAGTCAGTTGTTCATATTCTCTCCCCCTCTTGCCTAACCCTTGCGTGGAATCTGTTCTCATTATCCAAGGCCTTTCCCTATGTCAATGCCATTTTCAGAGTACTCTCTCTACTGAGGATAGACAGTCTGGGGCTCCACTGCACCTCAACACCACTGTCTTTTGACAGAAACCCTAAAACACTGGGCCTTGCTTTCATTAAAATAAAGCCCTTAGACTCCTGGAACTTGGTGATTTGACCACCTGCAAAGCAGACCAACAATTCTATTTCTTTCAATTTCCCCATTCCTTATGTTAGCCAGTTTCCACTTTCCATTTGCTCTTTCTTCTTTTCTAAGGACTCCTGATATACTGTATTCCTGGCCTTCTCCTATCCCCATCCCACATACGTACTCCAGCTCTGCTCTAAAAAAAGACACATGCATTATGGAAAGAACATGGGGTTGGGGTCAGACCTAAGCTCAAATCCTGACTGTACCACTTACTGACCATATGACAGTTGGTTTTCTTGTCTTGTAAAATAGGGGCAAAAATGACAACCCACATGGATTACTGTGAGAGTTAAATGAGAAAATATATGTAAATCACACATAGTAAATTAAGACAGCTGTTTTTGCTGTGGTGATCTTATGGCCATGTGTCATATCTTCCCTACTAGACTAAAAAGTCCATGATGGCAAAGACCTAGATTCTTGCCAACACTGACTCCCCGGCCTCAGCAACTAGCACAGTGTCTGAAACCTCATAGGTGCTTAATAAATATTTGTCAATGAATATAAAGAGTTTTGTTAATATCAACTAAAGAAGATCCTGAGACAAGGCAGATAGCACAGACACACCAAACCAAAGCTGGATCTATCCTCTCTGAAACTGGCATCCAGTTGTCATCATTTTTATATATATCAAGAATTGCACACGTTATTAAAATCTCAAAAAGTGACTTCCCTCCCAAATGGCCTTCTGCTGCAATGAAATGACAAAGATCTGACATCTTTATCACACAATTACTAAAACATCCTTTTGAGTTGTCATTTTAAAATATTTGCCCAATTTAGCTGGAGTTTGAGTTTAATTATAGGAAGAAATGTGGGCTTGAGTTAGGTTACACTGGATTCGGGGAAGGGAAGAGCAGATAACTGGATCCCTCCCACTCACCGAAAGACTTCAGCTGGCCAAGACAACTCCCAAATAGGACTAGACATGTCAAATAAAGCAAGAAACACAAAAGAAACTTGGAAACCTTGAAAAGAAAGACAAGGTCATGGAATAGGAGTTTAAGCAGGCCTCGCTGAAGCTTAAAATCCTTCACTAAAAAAAAAAAAAAAAAAATCCTTCACTGTCCCTCCAGGGCCTCAGAACATAGGGCAAGATGCCTAGCCTGGAGTTCAAGCTTCCTGGGATCTTGCCACCCCTCCAATCTCTGCAACCCTTTCTCCTCCCTCTCCCAACTTCCCCCCATCACTATGAATCCCACTGGCCTATGGGCCTTGGAGTCTCTTCCAGCTTCTTTCTTGACTGGGCCCACTTTTATTTCTTCTTCACAGTGGCCTAGACTGGGCAGTTCTAGTCCATCTGCCAACAAATACTTATTTGGGACTTCTTATGCACCCAGCATGGTTCTAGATGCTGGGGACAAAGCAGTTAACACAATAAAATAAAATTCCCTGGCCTTAAAAAGGAAACAGACAATAAGAATAACCACATTAAAAAAAAAACTATAGCCTTTTAGATGTTGACAATTTCTTACTAACTTAGATATTTTTTCTTTTTCTTTTAGGACTGGTAAGTGAAGGTAACAAAACAAAATTCGTGCTTGATTCAAGGTACAGTTTTTGAAACATCTTTCTTTGATCTTCTAAAAACTCAGGGCAACACCCAGAACCTTCCCTTACTATTGTATTGACACCCATTAACTGGTATTTCTTGCACATTATATTGTCCTTCTGACTTGATAGGGAGCTACTTGGAGGCAGGGATGGAGTTTGATTCTCATGAAGCCACTGGAGACTATCTGCTGAAAGAATGAGGGGGAGATTGTGCCAACTCTGAGCTGTCTGTCTAAAAAGGTCTTCTAGGGATAAAATCCCTAACAGCTGAGATGCCTGATGACTTTATAGCGTCTTGGAGAGAAGCATGGCTATTTCTCAACCCAACTCCATGGAAATAATTATTGCAAAACTCACCATCTAGTGAGAATCTTCTATTGCCAGGCACCATGCTGGGCCCTCAACATAGAATGTCTTTTTAGTAAGTAAAAAGTTCTCCTTGGTAATCCTCACAGTGCCAATAACTGTGAGAAGTACATGGAAATTACTAGCTGCTATCAATATTACTATGTCTAAAACTACCGTTTTCCCCTGCATTAGAACAATCTGAACATTGTTAGGCAAAGACATCTAAGCAATTTTAAAATTATTTGAGTCATGACAGAGAGACTCACAACTGAAATATTTACCTTTCAATTTCAGGTGAGGACGTTCCCGGAGATTGAAGATGTGACAAGTTCCCACATCGTGTGAGCATCAGAGAAAACTTCCCCTGACAAGTCACGTGCAGAGATAGGAACCGTTGATTAAGGAGAGGATTAATTTTATCTCCCAAGTATTTCTACCGGTAAATACTCTTAAATACATAGAATAGTGGGGCTGAAAGAGTCCTTCGAGGTCTCCTCCTTAGCTTCTTTGTCTTATGGATGGGGAAACAGAGGCCCAGAGATCAGAATTGCATTCTAATTATTCAGCCCTCCTTCCACTCCCCCCTCCAATCCATCCTCCAACTAGAATTTATTGAATGATTAAAGGAAAAAAAATGAAGGAGGCATTTGGTCTTGATTCGCCCATTCGTTTATTCAGAAAGTATTTATTGAATATCCACTATTTGCCAGGCACTCTTCTAGGCACAGGGAACAAAGCAGTAAACAAACCAGACAAAAATCCCTGCCTTCATGGAGCTCACATTCTAGAGAGAGGCAGTAGACTGCATAGATTGATGAATGGTTATAAATGCTAGAAAGAAGAATAAAGCAAAAAGGAGGGCTAGATACATGGTTTAGCTCTGTGTCCCACCCAAATCTCATGTTGAATTGTAATTTCCAATGTTGGAAGAGAGACCTGGTGGGAGATGATTGAATCATGAGGGCATAGTTCCTCCTTGCTGTTCTCATGATAGTGAGTGAGTTATCATGAGATCTGGTTGTTTGAAAGTGCATAGCACTTCCACCTTCACTCTCTCCTCCTCCTGCTCCAACATGTGAAAATGCCCTCGCTTCCCCCTTACCTTGAACCATTATTGTAAATTTCCTGAGGCCTCTCAGCCAAGTTTCCTGTACATCCTGCCAAACTGTGAGTCCATTAAACCTCTTTTCTTCAAAAATTACCCAGTTTTGGTTGGGTGCGGTGGCTCACACCTGTAATCCCAGCACTTTGGGAGGCTGAGGCAGGCAGATCACTTGAGGTCAGGAGTTCGAGACCAGCCTGGACAACATGGTGAAATCCTGTCTCTACTAAAAATACAAAAATTAGCTGGATATGGTGGTAGGTGCCAGTAATCCCAGCTACTTGGATGGCTGAGGCAGGAGAATCGCTTGAACCCAGGAGGCAGAGGTTGCAGTGAGCCAAGATCACACCACTGCACTCCAGCCTGGATGACAGAGCGAGATACCCTCTCAAAAATAAAAATAAAAATAAATTACCCAGTCTCAGGTAGTTTTTTTGGTTTTTGAAGGTTTTTGTTGTTGTTTGTTTGTTTGTTTGTTTGTTTGTTTGTTTTTTGAGACACAGTCTCGCTCTGTCACCCAGGCTGGAGTGCAGTGGCGTGATCTTGGCTGGCTGCAACATCCACCTCCTGGGTTCAAGCAATTCTCCTGCCTCAGCCTCCCCAGTAGCTGGGATTACAAGCACATGCCACCATGCCTGGTTAATTTTTGTATTTTTAGTAGAGATGGGGTTTCACCATGTTGGTCAGGCTGGTCTGGAACTCCTGACCTCGTGATCTGCCTGCCTTGGCCTCCCAAAGTGCTGGGATTACAGGCGTGAGCCACTGCGCCTGGCCTCAGGTAGTTCTTTATAGCAGTGTGAGAATGGACTAATACAGAAAATTGGTACCAGGAGTGGGATATTGCTATAAAGATACCTGAAAATGTGGAAGCAGCTTTGGTACTGGGTAATGGGCAGAGATTGGAACAGTCTGGAGGGCTCAGAAAAAGATAAGAACATGTGGAAAAGTTTGGAACTTCCTAGAGACTCATTGAATGGTTGTGACCAAAATGCTGATGATGACATGAACAATGAAGTTCAGGCTGAGGTGGTTTCAGGTGGAGATGAGGAACTTACTGAGAACTGGGAACTTACTGGGAACTTACTGGGAAGTAAAGTTCACTTTTGCTATGCTTTAGCAAAGAGACTGGTGGCACTGTGCCCCTGCTCTAGACATCTGTGGAGCTTTGAACTTGAGAGAGATGATTTAGGGTAGCTGGGGGAAGAAATTTCTAAGCAGCAAAGCATTCAAGATGTGACCTGGCTGCTTCTAAAAGCATATGGTCATTTACATAAACAAAAAAATAAACTGAAACTAGAACTTATATTTAAAAGGGAAGCAGATCATAAAAGTTTAGAAATTTGGCAGCTCAACCATGTGGTAGAAAAGAAAAACTCATTTTCTGGGGAGGAATTCAAGGCTGCAGAAATTTGCATAAGTGAAGAAGAGCTGAATGTTAATAGCCAAGACAATGGGGAAAATGCCTCCAGAGCATTTTACAGACCTTCACAGCAGCTCCTCCCATCACAGGCCAGGAGGCCTAGAAGGGAAAAATGGTTCTGTGGGCCAGGCCCAGGGCCCTGCTGCTCTGTGCAGCCTCAGGACATGCATGGCACCCTGCATCCCAAATGCTCCAGCTCAGCCATGGCTAAAAGGGGCCAAGATAAAGCTCAGGCCATTGCTTCAGAGGGTGCAAGCCTCAAGCCTTGGTGGCTTCCACATGGTGTTAGGCCTGTGGGTGTGCAAAAGGCAAGAGTTGAGGGTTGGAGTCCTCTGCCTAGATTTCAGAGGATGTATGGAAACGTCTGGATATCCAGGCAGAAGTCTGCTACAGGGTCAGAGCCCTCATGGAGAGAACTCTACTAGGGCAATGCAGAGGGGAAATATGGGGTTGGATCCCCCACACAGAGTCCCCACTGGAACACTGCCTAGAGGAGCTGTGAGAAGAGGGCCACCATTCTCCAGACCCCCAAATGGTAGATCCACTAACAGCTTGCACCATACGTCTAGAAAAGCCACAGGCACTCAATGCCAGGCCCTGAAAGCAGACACAGGGGATGTACCCTGCAGAGCCACAGAAGTGGAGCTGCCCAAGGCCTTGGGAGCCCACCCCTTGCATCTGCATGCCCTGGATGTGAGACATGGAGTCAAAGGAGATTATTTCAGAACTTTAAGATTTAATGACTACCCTGCTGGGTTTTGGACTTGCATGGGGCCTATAGCCCCTTTGTTTTGGCCAATTTCTTCCTTTTGGAATGGAAGAATTTACCCAATGCCTGCACCCCCATTGTATCTTGTAAGTAACTGACTTGTTTTTGATTTTACAGGCTCATAGGTGGAAGGGAGTTGCCTTGTCTCAGATGAAACTTCCAAAGTCTCTTGGACTTTTGAGTTAACACTGGAATGAGTTAAGACTTTGGGGAACTGTTGGGAAGTCATGATTGTATTTTGAAATGTAAGAAGGACATGAGATTTAGAAGGGCAGAAAGATATGGTTTGGCTCTCCGTCCCCACCCAAATATCATGTTGATTTGTAATCCCCAATGTTGGGGGAGGGACCTGGTGGGAGGTGATTGGATCATGGGGTTGGATTTCCCCCTTGCTGTCCTCATGATAGTAAGTTCTCATGAGATCTGGTTGTTTTAAAACACATAGCACTTTCCCCTGTTTGCTCTTTCTCTCTCCTGTCACCATGTGAAGTTGTACTTGCTTCCCCTTTGCCCTTCCATCATGATTTTAAGTTTCCTGAGGCCTCCCAGCCATGCTTCCTGTACAGCATGCAGAACTGTGAGTACATTAACCCTCTTTTCTTCATAAATTACCCAGTCCCAGATAGTTCTTTATAGCCATGTGAGAATTGACTCATACAACCAGCGAAGGGGAAGTAGTTACAATTTTAATACGATGGTCGTAGAAGTCCTCTCACTTAGAAAGTGATGGAAGCAGGGAATGGAGCCATGTGGCTATCTAGTGAATAAAATCCAGACAGAGGGAATAGAAAATGTAAAGGCCTTGTGGGTCCAAATAGCAATGAGGAGGCCAATGTGGCTGGAGTGAGCAAGACGCGAGATGTTTGTTGGACATCATCCCAGAGAAATAATAGGGGCTGGGGAGGGGGGCACCATATCCTGAAAGTCCCTGTAGCATCAGTGGTTAGTTTCCTCTCATACTCCTCCTCCCCTTCTCTGTACTGCTTCCTTGCCCTCAGGCTTCTGGCTAGATTTGGCCAATAGGAGGCACTGTCAGCAGATTAGAGAGTGGGAAGGAAGAAAAACCAGGTCTCTCTTTTTCAAATGGTGTCTCTAGCAGGGGCCACATCTCTGGCTCTAGCTCCCGACAGACAGACCTGCCATGTTTCCAGCTCCAGTGGGGCAGCTCCAGCTCTCAGACTCCAGTAACATGGACTCCTCTCTTTATTCCCACATGTCTTGGGAGAATTGGTGGGCCCTGCATTTGTTAAATTTGTGGTTACCCCACTTTCTCTTGGTTACTCTTTCAGCTCTTCTAGCATGTTTATAACTAATTCCCTACATTAAATAATCTCTACTAAATTACCTGGTATGGATTGTGTTTCCCAGTTGGACTCTGACAGATAAAGACTTCATAGGCCCCTGTAAGACTTGGGCTTTTACTCTAAGTAAAACAGGCAGCCACTGGAGGGTTTGAGTAGAGATTCATGAGTTGCCTTGAAGCCTGAATGAATAGAAAAACAGTTGTGTCTCCAAAAATGTTTCTTTAATTGAAGACACCTGCCCAACATCACACAGAATTTGTGATGGGACAGACTCATGGTGCCTGCTCCTCTGCTCTCTGCTCCATTTTAAATAAATGGCATTGAGAACCTCAGAAACTTCAAAAACACAGAGGGATGTTTGCATATTCTCTAACAGTTTTGTACAAGACTCCAACTCTTTGAAGGCCTTTGGAGGTCAGAGATGACACTGAGAAGGGCCAGCCATCATTGACAGGACCTCACCAATAATGCAGAGGAAGGTTTTTGTCTGTTTGATTTCCTGGGAGAGTGCCAGTTTTAGCAGAAAAGGGGAAGAAAATCCAGCCCCTGAGGAGCCCCTGCAATATCCTAGGCACGCTGCCAAGCAATTTTACATCCAATGGCTCATTTAATCCTACAAGGACACTGCTCAGTGGATATTAATATCTTTATTTTGAAAAAAAGTGCTTTCAGAGAAGTTAGGTAACTAGTCTAAGGTCACACATCCTCTTATTCCATCAATAAGTGGATCAAGGACCAGTCTAACCCCTCAAGGTGGCCATGAAGGCAGTAGAGTGTGGGAGTCTTTGAGCAAAGTCTTTGAATGAGAAAGCCAGGTCTTTGGACTAAAAGTCATTTTGCCTCTCTGAGTCTCAATTTCCTCATTGGTAAAGTAGGAATAACATCAGTGCTATCCATTTCAAAGAATGTTTCTGAGCATTTAAATGAACTAATGTGTGAGAAGCACCTGGCAAATTTTAAAGCTCTGTACTAAAGACCCTTAACCCAAGGTCCATGTCTGAGCTTTGAGGTCTATGAACCTCTTGAAGATGATGCTAAATTTTATATATATAAGCAGAGACCTGCTGGTCCATCACACAATCTGAATTCCCCTGTGCCTCTTATATGTGAGCTTCTTGCTGTGCTGGAAGTGATTCTATTATTTAAAGAAAGACTTTTTCATACAACATGGCTCCCAAATGTAAACCAACTAACTTCTATATAGATACTACACTATATACTCTGAAGTTTTGAGGGCATTCACAGGATTTGCAAGGGTAATTTCAACTACATGTGATTTTTGTCTCACAGACTATCTTTAGAGCTGAACACCTGAACATGATGTGACTCCTCTGTGCATTTGTGACTGGAGAGTCCATGGCTTCCAGCAGCAGATTTTTAAAGAAGGTGATTTAAAGTTTATTGGGAAGTACCATTTTAGACAAATACTGGAAGTATTAAGATGTTAAAAATGATGAATATGATATGATAATTATAATTACATATACATTAATGGAGCATCTACTATGTGTAGGGCACAATTCAAGAGTGAATTAGAGAATACACTAGCTGCATTCTATAAACATATCCCCTGAGGGCTCATAATGCCATGGGGACAACAAACCACATGTTGCTCGCAGATTTCTTGGAGGAGGTGGGATATGAGCTAGATCCTAAATGATGCTTGGAATTTTAACAGGTGAAGTTAAGATAAGAGCCTGCCAGACAGGAAGACTGTATTGACAAAAGGCATGGTGTAAAGAATGTAGCAGGGCCTGCACAGGGAAAGGTGTGAGCCTAGTATAGGCTGAGATGTGGAATGAGCAGGGAGGAGGCTGAAGTCCGAAGAAGGCCTGGGGTTCAACGTCAGCCAGGATGCAGACTCTATTCTCCATCTCAATTTCCACAACTCATTCAGCCCTTTCTCTCCCCCACTACCTATTCCAGAGCTAAGCACCCTATGGATGCTCAACGATATCTTGTTCTGGGGGAGGGAGACCCTTAACCTGACAAACTTGGATGCTGGTCCTGCTTCACCTACTAGCCAGCTGTGTGACCTTGAGCAAGACCCTTTCCCTCTCTGAATCTCAGTCTCTTAATTTGTAAAATGGGAATTGTCATACTTCTCCTGCCGATCATGCAAAACAGGGTGTTTGCCTCTTAGTGGAAGCTCATCTCATGTTAGTTAAACCGCCATCTTATGGGGTTCTTGGGGGACATCAAAGAGGCAGTAGACGGTCTAATGCTTAGGAACAAAGACCAAGGACAGCCTCAAAGTCTGCATTATTACCGTGGTCACCACCTTTGAGCAGCTCTCACTTCCTCCAGAGGCAGCAAACATTCAGCCTTCTCTCGTCACGGCACGTTCCTCCTTCTGCAGCAAAGGAGACAGAAAGGAGATTCACCAATTGCCTGGGCTGAGGCCAGACATTGAAAGTCTCCCAATGCATGCTAATGCCATCGACCCTTGCTGAGATGTGCTGGGCTATCAAACAAACTTATTTGACTCTGATTCACCTCTGGATAAGGTAAAGTTTATGCTACTGATATGAAGAAATACTAGGGGAAAAGTTGTCCAAACAACTCTTCCCAGACCTCAATTTCATAACTTCTGATTGAGTTAAGATGATACAACCCTTCTTAGAGATGCCATCATACTATCATTCACTCACTTGATTATCTAACAAGTGCTCACTTTAAGTAGACCCTGTGCTGGGTCCTGGGAACACTGAGGGAACATAGAGCAGACTCTGTGCTAAAGAAGCTCACAGTCTATGGGCAGAAAAGGGGAAAAACCCTGAACCCCAACAATTGTGGACATTGAAATATGATGGGTCATTGGACCGGGATAGCCCAGGGTGCTATGGGAGCCAGAGAAGAAAGCACTCACTAGCCTGAGGTGGGGTTTTAAAGACACCAGGCCTACTACAGACTGGGCCCAGTTCCAGCTCAGCACTCCCTGTTGCAGCACCTGTTCACACCATTTGCACCAGCCATGCCAATGACTTGCAGCCTTTCATTTGCACCAGGCTATTTTATGCATTCATGCCCATGGTGGATGGAGTATGTAAAAACAAGGCTTGGGAACCAATAAATGAATGCCCTTCCAGGAGAGGGTTCAAACAAGGTCTCATAGGGAGGTGCTTGATCTGGATCTTGGAATCAGTAGAAGTTCACCCAAGGAGTGGTCAAGGGGAGCTGCATGGCATTTGGGTAAAAGAGAAAGCATGTGCAGGGAATAGTAAGAAGTTCAATGTAACTAGAGCACTAGATAAGTATAGGGGAATTTGTGAGAGTTGAGGCTGGAGGCAGGAGCAAGGTCACCAACGGCATTGGATGCCAGGCTAAGGAGTTAGGACTTTATCCTGTACATAATGAAGAGGACTTCAATGAGTTTTAAGCAAGGTAGTAACTTGCTCAACCAGAATAATGACCCCTGGAGCCCTTAAAGTAAGCTCATAAGAGCCCAGACTTCTATAAACTAGTAGAAAAAAAGCCTCTGAAATTTGACTCAAAGGCAAGAAAGTGCATTCCAGGCCCCTACAGAGATTAGGCCAGCGAGCAATCCCTCCTCCTGCTAGACTCCAAGGGGACCAAGACTTCCCAAGGTCACCTTCTCCTGATAGCCTTTGACGTCTCCACAATTTCTTCACCCTCCAAGACCATTGCCTTTCGGCAGTCTCTGTGCCAAGGACAGATTTGATAGCAAGAAAATGGCCCACTGGAGAAATAAAATGCCTGTGTTTCTTCAGCAGGGAAAGCTGTTGGGGTTTTTTATTATCATTATTATTATTTTTCTCTGAGCTGAACAAGTGACAGGACATAATAATATCGTTTATTCCAACTTGCTCTTGCAAATCAGAACTTTTTAATATTTTCCTTTCAAATGAAAATGCCATTTATCATTATCAAATGAAGTGCTAATGAAAACAACATGTAGAAAAAACACATTCACACAGCAGAGCATGATGGAGCACCTTGTCAGCGGTCCATAGTCTCGCCGTTAATTTGATTTCTGCCAAAAATCACTTAAGTGAGGCTTGGGGATTTTTTTTGTCTCAATGCTCCAGGCCTTTCTGCTGAGGCCTGTTTATTCCTCTCTCCTGAGAAGGCACTGAAATCCCGAGTTCATTTTAATCTGACTTTTAATGGAACTCCCATTGATTGCATGAGGGAAGTGTGCATATCAGGGAGCATAAGGGACTATTCTTGCCTGTCTGTGTGTCATTGCCCATTTCTTTCACCCAACACATATTTGGCTGGTGGGCTTTGGCTGTGTCCTTGTTTAGGTAGTGTGTGTTTGTGTACTTCAATCTGGTGTGCCGCTATGGGTGATTATACGTTTGTGTCCACGAGCCAGGAGGACAGTAATTATGTCTATTTGTTAACCACTGGAGGCCCAGCACCTGGCCTATTGCCTGACACATAGTAGGCCCTCAATAAGTATTTGTTAAATGAATAAGTGAATGTTTCTGTATGTTTTCATGAAGCATGTGTTTTAGTCTGTATGGGTTCAGATATATGTGCTTCTAATCCCAGGAGTGGAAATTTCAGGGACAGGAACTCTGAATCTCTAGTGTTTACTTAGTACTTCACACATGTCAGGCACTTAGAGAATATTTTTTGAGTATATATATATGTTTCCATATTTTTTAAATTAGGTAAAGTTTACATAACATAAAATTAACCGATTTTAAGAGTACAGTTCAGTGGCACTTTGTACTTTCATAATGTTGTGCAACCATCACCTCCATCTAGTTCCAAAACATTTTCATCTTCCCCCAAAGAAACTCTGTACCTATTAAGCAGTGACTCCATATTCCTCCCTCCCCCAGCCCCTGGCAACCTGTTTTCTGCCTCTATGGATTTACCTATTCTGGATACTTTATGTAAATGGAATAATACAATATGTGACTTTTTGTGTCTAGATTGTTTTGCCTACCATAATGTTTTCAAAGTTCTCCATATATGTTTTTACATCTGTGTGTATTTAAGTCTGTAGGTGTGTGTTCATGCGTGGGATACTTGGCACCACAGCCGCATCCCTAGAGCACAGGGCCTGACAAAGAACAGCTGGGCAATGAGGAAAACTCTTGCCATTCCTTTCCCTACTTTCCTGCCAGGTGCTCCTTGGCCCAGATCATCTTTCCTTCCTTACCCCGACCTCTGCTGTTTCCTGGCAAGCTCTGAATGATTACTTGGTGATCTGTCCAAGTGTCATCTATTCCAGGAAGACTTTCCTGACCCCAGGCTAGGTTATAAGACTCTCCTCTGGACTCCCACTGCCCTTGCACTTTCTTTTGTCATCACTTTGCTCCCTTGTGTGATCATTGTCAATTTACTTGTCTCTCTCTGTTAGATCATGAGTTCCTGAAGGAAATGGACTGCGTCTTCTTCATCTATGCAGTCCCAGTACTTAACATGATATTTAGTTTATATTGGGTGTCCCACGGGTGTTGGTTGAATGAATAAATGAATGAATTTTGGGGGAAAAGTCATTCCACATAGAGAGAACAGCCTGTGCAAAAGCCCTAAGGCATGAGACAGCACATTCGTTATTAAAAAAATTATAACAGTTTGATATGACTTGAAGCCTGTCATATGTGAATGAGGAGGAAAGTGAGAGTTAAGATAGGAAATAAGAAGTAGGAATTGGCCTATCATAAACCTTCCTGATGGCAAAGGGAAATGCGTCAATGGTTTAAGCAAGGACATGACATAGTCAGATTTGTGGGTTAGAGGATTCCTTAGCTACCAAGTGAAGAATGGATTAGAGAGGACCAGAGTGGATGAGGATGGACCACTTAGGAGACTACTGCAGAGTACAGGCAAGTGATGATGGCTCAGTTCAGGGTGGTGGCATAGAATTAGAGACAGAAAACTTGAGCAGTGCTCAACAAAGTGGTCTGTGAACTGGGGCTGATCTGTGAACTACAGTCCACAGCAAGACAAGTACAAAAAGCAAGAGAACAAGGACTTTATAGTAATTTGACATTTCTGAGACATTTTTATTGTATTTTACAAAAGTATCAGTCTACAGCAAATTGAAAATGGAAAAATAAAAGGTACTTCACCACAGATAGTTTAGGGAACATGCTAATAAATGGAGTACATTAGCAGGTGGGAGAGAGAGGAAGCAGGAATGACCCCGGCAAGACTGTCAATGACAGAAGCATGTCAGAAGCATTTCCATTTCCTTCCTTGGGGAGGAAATGTTTGCTAAATAAACTTCCAGGGTTCATCAAAAGCTGATGGTTTTGAACAATGTCAGTGATTTCACAAGATGCCAGAAAGGAGGAGGACAAAAAGCTGGGTTCAGAGAGAAAATTGTATCTGGGCCTAGGTGGTCATCAGCCACCGAGAAGTACAGCTACGCTTCCTTCTTCATCTTCCTCCAACTTTTCCCTTCCCCTGCTAAAAGGCATAGGATAGTATGAGCTTCTGTGGAAACTGGGAGTCATGCTGAACTCCTCCCTGACTAATATGGTTTGGCTGTGTCCCCACCCAAATCTCACCTTGAATTTTAGCTCCCATAATCCCCACATGTTGTGGGAGGGACCCAGTGGGAGGTCATTGAATCATGTGGGCAGGTTTTCCCGTGATGTTCTCCTGATATTGAATAAGTCTCACAAGATCTGATGGTTTTATAAAGCACAGTTCCCCTGCACATGCCCTCTTGCCTGCTGTCATGCAAGATGTGACTTTGCTCCTCCTTTGCCTTCCACTATGATTGTGAGGCCTCCCCAGCCATGTGGAACTGTGAGTCCATTAAAACTCTGTTTCTTTATAAATTGCCCAGTCTTGGTTATGTCTTTATTAGCAATGTAAGGACAGACTAATACAGTAAATTGGTACTATGAGTAGGGTGTTGCTGTAAAGACACCCCAAAATGTGGAAGCAACTTTGGAACTGGGTAACAGGCAAAGGTTGAAACAGTTTGGAGAGCTCAGAAGAAGACAGGAAAATGTGGGAAAGTTTGGAACTTCCTGGAGACTTGGAAAGCTCAGAAGACAGGAAGATGCAGGAAAGTTTGGAACTTCCTAGAGACTTGTTGAATGGCTTTGATCAAAATGCTGTTAGTGATATGGACAATAAAGTCCAGGCTGAGGTGGTCCCAGATAGAGATGAGGAACTTGTTGGGAACTGGAGTAAAGGTAGCTCTTGCTATGCAAAGATACTGGCAGCAATTTGCCCCTGCCCTAGAGATCTGTGGAACTTTGAACTTGAGAGAGCTGATTTAGGGTATCTGGTGGAAGAAATTTCTAAGTGGCAGTGTTTAAGAGGAAGCAGAGCATAAAAGTTTTGAAAATTCACAGCCTGATGATGCAGAAGAAAAGGAAACCCCATTTTCTGGGGAAAAATTCAAGCCGGGCAGCAGAAATTTGCATAAGTAACAAGGAACCAAATGCTAATCACCAAGACAAAGGGGAAAATGTCTCCAGTGCATGTCAGAGACCTTTCTGGCAGCCCCTCCCATCACAGGCCCAGAGGCCTAGGAGGGAAAAATGGTTTCCTGGGGTGGGTCCAGGACCTCCCTGCTTTGTGCAGCCTCAGGACTTGCTGCCTTGCATCCTAGCCACTCCAGCCATGGCTAAAAGGAACCAACGCACAGCTCAGACCAGGGCTTCAGAAGATGCAAGCCCTAAGACTTGGCAGCTTACATGTGGTGTTCAGCCTGTAGGTACACAGAAGTCAAGAATTGAGGTTTGGGAACCTCCACTTAGATTTCAGAGGATGTATGGAAATACCTGGATATCCAGGCAGAGGTGTGCTGTAGGGCTGGAACCCTCATGGAGAACCTCTGCTAGGGTAATGTGGAAGGGAAATATGGGGTCAGAGCCCCCACACAGTCCCCACTGGGACACTACCTACTGGAGCTGTGAGAAGAGGGCCACCGTCTTCCAGACCCCAGAAGGATCCATCGACAGCTTGCACCATGCACCTGGGAAAGCTACAGGCACTCATCACCAGCCTATGAAAGCAGCCAGGAAGGGGGCTGTACCCTGAAAAGCCACAGGGGTGGAGCTGCCCAAGGCCATGGGAGCCCACCTTGTGCATCAGCATGACCTGGATGTGAGACATGGATTTAAAGGAGATCATTTTTGAGCTTTAAAATTTGACTGCCCTGCTGGATTTCAGACTTGAATGAAGCCTGTACCCCCTTTGTTTTGGCCAATTTCTCCCTTTTGGAACATGTGTATTTACCTAATTCCTGTGTCCCCATTATGTCTAGGAAGTAACCAACTATCTTTTGATTTTCCATGCTCACAGGCTGAAGGGACTTGCCTTGTCTCAGATGAGACTTTGGACTATGGACTTTTGAGTTAATGCTGAAATGAGTTAAGACTTTTGAGGACTGTTGGGAAGGCATGATTGGTTTTGAAATGTGAGGACATGAGACTTAGGAGGCCCAGGGGTAGAATGATATGGTTTGGCTGTATCCCCACCCAAATCTCATCTTGAATTGTAGCTCCCATAATCCCCATGCATTGTGGGAGGGAGCCAGTGGGAGGTAATTGAATCATGGAGGTGAGTTTTTCCAGTGCTGTTCTCATGATAGTGACTAAGTCTCCCATGATCTGATGGTTTTATAAAGGGCAGTCCTTCTACACATGCTCTCTTGCTTGCTACCATGTAAGACATGCCTGTGCTCCTCTTTTGCCTTCTGCCATGATTGTGAGACCTCCCCAGCCATGTGGAACTGTGAGTCCATTAAACCTCTTTTTCTTTCTAAATTAGCCAGTCTCAGGTACGTCTTTATTAGCAGCATGAGAACAGACTAATACACTGACCGTCATCCCTCACACTTAAGCAGCTACCAAGCACTGTGACCTCAAGAAGCAGTATAATGTGGGGTTGAGGACATGGACTCTGGAGATAGTCTTCCTGAGTTCAAATCCTGACTGACTCCAACACTTACAAGGTATATAACCTTGAATATGTTTCTACAGCCCTCTGGGCATGTGTCTTTGGGTTATTGTGAGAACGAATTTAGTTATATATCAAGCACTTAGAACAATGCTTGGTATATAGCAAGAATTCTATGTGTTATGCATTGATTACTATCATTTTAGTGGTTGCTTCTACTTCTAAGTATCTCATGAATGAACTCCATTCCTTGTACTGCTGCCCCAGTCCAGGCAACCACCATTCCTCCTCATATACAGCAACAGCCTTCACCTCAGTGGCCTCCCTGTCTTCTGTTGGGTCTTCTCCTATTCCACTCTGGCCCCAAAATGCTCTTTCTGAATCATAAATCTAGCATGTCACTTTCCTACTTAAAACCTCTCTGTGGCTGGTTATCCATGGTACCCAGGCCCGGCATGATTCAGCCCTTTTCTTCCCCTCATGGCCTCAGCATTTGCCACAAATTTTTTTGCCCTCCATGTGTCAGTGGCATGAGCCTTTCTTAGTTTCCCCCAACGGCTTTTGCATATTCTGCTCCCTCTGCCTGGGCCAGCATCCCCATCATCAAACCAGTTCTACTGCTTCCTTCAAGTCTTAGCTGGGTAGTTATATCTTCTAAGGTGTCTTGCTTGACTCTCCAGGCAGAATTAGAAGCCCCAAATTTCTGTTCTCATAGCTCTTGTGCCTCCTTGAAATAGCACTGACACAAGAATGCCATCTTTGTTGTCACATATCTGCCTCCCGAGACTGTGAGTCCCTCCAGTGCAGACCCTGGGCCTGATCTATCTGTGTAGATACTCAGTAAACTCATGTGAAATGGGATTGAATTGGAACCAGCCCAATATTGCACTTTAAGAGCCAGAAAGCAGAATAAAGTGGCTGAATCCAACTACTCCAGGAGCGGTTCATGCGTGGGCAAGGGGAGCATGAGATGTTCTTTTCTCACACCATCCTCTTCCTGCTGCCAACCCCCTCCTAGCTGCGTGAGTCTCGTGAGCTGAATACAGAACGGATGGGCTTGGCAGCGACTGCCTGGCTGTGTGCCCACCACCCATGGGCACCCAGGAAACATGCTGAAAGGAGCTGAGCACCACCCAAGCAGTCCTACCCTCTGACTCCTACCATAGGACATTGGAGACAGGAGTAGGTGGAGCACAGAAGGGGAGTCACCTGAACCTACAATATTTCTAGGCCTCAGTCTTCTTCTCTACTAGATGGATTCAATAATCCTGCCTTAATGGTTGCAATGGGGAGTTAAAGAGATCACAGATGTGAGCACATAGTGGTTCCAGACTTGCATGGGGCCTATACCCCCTTTGTTTTAGCCAATTTCTCCCATTTTGAAGATATGTAGTTACCCAATACCTGTACTCCCATCATATCTATGAAGTAACTAACTTGCTTTTGATTTTACAGGCTCATAGGCAGAAGGGACTTGCCTTGTCTCAGATGAGACTTTGGACTGTGGACTTTTGAGTTAATGCTGAAATGAGTTAAGACTTTGGGGGACTGTTGAGAAGGCATGATTGGTTGAACCTTGTTAACCCTTCTGCTTGAACCCTGTTAACTTTCTCATAATCACCAGGGAAACTGAGGTGAAGAGAGTGAGGAAAAGTACAATTTTGGGTAGGATCCCACTTTGATGCAGCATAGGTGAAAGGTGCTCTGCAAATGTACAATATCTTCTGAGAATCTGATTCATTTTTAAAAGCCTTCACAGGTGGGGAACCTGGGCACAGATTTGTAGTGGTAAGGAGTCAGAGATGAGCAGTTCAGGAAACAAAAGATTACATATGGAAAAAAAGTGAACTGAAATACACCACTGCCAATGGTATCTAACATTTATAGAGTACTTATTATGGACAGGGACTGTGTTAAGTGCTTTATACGTATAATCTCAATTAAGCCTCACAATAGCCCTATGAGTAAAGTATTATTATTATTTCCACTTTACAGATGAGAAAACTAGGTCAGAGGGAGTTAAGCAATTTCCACAAGGACCCATTAAAGCAGAGGCAGAATTTGAACCCAGTGGCACCCGATTCTCAAGCCCCTGCTCTTTCCATCCTGTGCTAGATATGGTCAATTGGTCTTTCATGTACCATCATGGCTGGAGACCCAAGAACTACATTTTTCAGACTCCCATTCCAGCTGGGTTCCAGTCTGCTCTGCAGCTGAGGGACACACATGGGCCATCAGAAGGCAGGAAGAAAATTGAAGCCATTGTTGGCTTCTGTCATCTGTGGGAGTGTGGGCTCTTGTATTCCAGGAGCTGCACTGACATTGGCTCTAGGAATGTCTCTTCAGGAGTGCAGCCTCCACTGTCTCACTTTTACTTCTTCAGACCTGGGATCAGTAATCACTTCCTTATAATAACTAATCTCTGAGGAGCTCCCCCTTTCCCCTTTTGCTCTCCAGTCCATCAATATCTTTGTAACCAAGTCTTCTGCTTGAAATGCCCAGAGGGATTTGCTTCACTGCAAAGTGGACACTGGTTGACATGATGTTACTCTTTCTGCTCCTTCAGCTAGAAGGAATACCCAGTTATAGGATCAAGGTGTCAGCCAAGTAGGCTGAGGGCAAGGCTGAGGCCTCTGTAGGACACTGGAGATCTATCACGGAAACTGCAGCAAGCATCTACTGGGCCACCACCAAGAAAGGAGGATATGGATCAGAGAGCTCCCAGCAGGCATCCAACATGCCAGGCTCAGGCTGTGAGCCTAATTCCAGAACCCACCCACTATTGAGGCTAAGCCCAAAGCCATCCTGCCAGCTTCAGGATGGCCCAGGGCCTGAGCAATGCAAGAGAGCCTTGGGGCTGGCAACTGAGCAGGCTAGCAGGTGAGGACCAGCAGACTATCTTCTCCCCGCCACTACTGCCCGTGAGAAACCATATGTGTTGACTGGTCTCTTCATTTGGGAACTTGACTGAGAATAAGCTTTGGGAAATTGACAAATCTGGGAGCCCTCTGACCCATATTCCTTACCAGCTAGTTCTGTGAGTCATTTGGTTCCCCAAACCTGAGCCTCGGTCTCCTTATTTATAAAATGGGGGCTGTCATGCCCATTGCACAAGTGTGAGGATTGAATGAGATAATGTATGCAAAGTACTTAATTCAGCTCCTGGCTGGTTGCAGATGCTTAAAAAATAAGTCTCCCATTCCCCTCCCTTCTTAAAAATAAGCTCCCTTATTTAGTTATTTACAATATCCTATATACATGTCTCTCACACTCCATGATAAGGTCTGAGAAAATAAAGACATGTCTTAGCTTTCTTTGTCTTGCTTAGAGCATCTAGTTCTTTAAAAAATAATAATATGCCTTTAATAATAAATTAAAACCTTCACACTCATAAAAACTAAAAAGAGAGAGATGGAGAAAGAGAAATGAAGCTTCTCTATTCATCCTTAATATTTTGCATCAAGAAAGTCTAAAACTCTACAATCTGCTCAATTTATTTTAGTATAAATTCATTCTTCTTTCCTTATCAGTCTCCTTTCTTCCCTCCCTTTCTTTCTACCACAGATATTTATTTTCAAGGCCCAAAAATGCAAAGATAAACAAGTAGAGTCCTCACCCCGAGGAGCTCAGATTCTAATGGGAGAGACATCATGTCAACAGAGGATGACAACCCACTGGTACAGACACAGAGCACTGATCTACACTCCCGTAGCACAGATCAGTGCCATGACAGAGGGAAGCACAGTGGTGTGGAGGCCACAGAGGAAACCTGAGGAGCCGGGGAGGCTTCCCGGGAGAAATTACTCATGTGCTGCGTCATAATAGAAGAGTGGAAAGAAGCGGTGTGAAGCAGGGGGAGTGGGATGCAGTAAAGGAGCACAGACACAGAATCAGGAGAGCCAAGTTCAGAGCCCTCCCAGCTGTGTGACCCGATGTGACTCATGTCCCCCCTTCTGTAAGGCAGAATAATAATACCTGCTGAACAAGGTGGTCACAGGTTCAATGGCAATACAGAAAGTACGTGGTGTAAAGTAGGTGTCAAGGAAATCAGGTGCCTCCCACCACCACTGTGACAATGGCCTTTCCTGAAGGACAAAGGAACTCAATGTTAGAAGTGTGGGGGACTAAAATGTCTCTCTCTTCTTTTTCAGAAGAGTTTACTTAGGTTTATAGAAAAAAATGAGCAGAAAGCACATATTTTGCATATATCCTTACCCCATCTCCACACGATTTCACCTATTTATTTTTTTTATACTTTAAGTTCTAGCGTACATGTGCACAACATGCAGGTTTGTTACTTATGTATACATGTGCCATGTTGGTGTGCTGCACCCGCCAACTCGTCATTTACATTAGGTGTATCTCCTAATGCTATCCCTCCCCCCTCCCCCCACCCCATGACAGGCCCCAGTGTTTGATGTTCCCCGCCCTATGTCCAAGTGTTCTCATTGTTCAATTCCCACCTATGAGTGACGACATGTGGTGTTTGGTTTTCTATCCTTGCGATAGTTTGCTCAGAATGATGGTTTCCAGCTTCATCCATGTCCCTACAAAGGACATGAACTCATCCTTTTTTATGGCTGCATAGTATTCCATGGTGTATATGTGCCACATTTTCTTAATCCAGTCTATCATTGATGGACATTTGGGTTGGTTCCAAGTCTTTGCTATTGTGAATAGTGTCGCAATAAACATATGTGTGCGTGTGTCTTTATAGCAGCATGATTTATAATCCTTTGGGTATATACCCAGTAATGGGATGGCTGGGTCAAATGGTATTTCTAGTTCTAGATCCTTGAGGAATCACCACACTGTCTTCCACAACGGTTGAACTAGTTTACAGTCCCACCAACAGTGTAGAAGTATTCTATTTCTCCACATACTCTCCAGTACCTCTTGTTTCCTGACTCTTTAATGATCGCCATTCTAACTGATGTGAGATAGTATCTCATTGTGGTTTTGATTTGCATTTCTCTGATGGCCAGTGATGATGAGCATTTTTCATGAGTCTGTTGGCTGCATAAATGTCTTTTTTTGAGAAGTGTCTGTTCATATCCTTTGCCCACTTTTTGAAGGGGTTGTTTGATTTTTTCTTGTAAATGTATTTAAGTTCTTTGTACATTCTGGATGTTAGCTTTTTGTCAGATGGGTAGATTGTAAAAATTTCCTCCCATTCTGTAGGTTGCCTGTTCACTCTGATGGTAGTTTCTTTTGTTGTGCAGAAACTCTTTAGTTTAATTAGATCCCATTTGTGAATTTTGGCTTTTGTTGCCATTGCTTTTGGTGTTTTAGTCATGAAGTCCTTGCCCATGCCTATGTCCTGAATGGTATTGCCTAGGTTTTCTTCTAGGGTTTTTATGGTTTTAGGTCTAACATTTAAGTCTTTAATCTATCTTGAATTAATTTTTGTATAAGGTGTAAGGAAGGGATCCAGTTTCAGCTTTCTACCTATGGCTGGCCAGTTTTCCCAGCACCATTTATTAAATAGGGAATCGTTTCTCCATTTCTTGTTTCTGTCAGGTTTGTCAAAGATGGTTTGTAGATGTGTGGTATTATTTCTGAGGGCTCTGTTCTGTTCCATTGGCCTATATCTCTGTTTTGGTACCAGTACCATGCTGTTTTGGTTACTGTAGCATTGCAGTATAGTTTGAAGTCAGGTAGTGCGATGCCTCCAGCTTTGTTCTTTGGGTTTAGGATTGTCTTGGCAATGCGGGCTCTTTTTTGGTTCCATATGAACTTTAAAGTAGTTTTTACCAATTCTGTGAGGAAAGTCATTGGTGGCTTGATGGAGATGGCATTGAATCTATAAATTACCTTGGGCAGTATGGCCATTTTCATGATATTGATTCTTCCTATCCATGAGCATGGAATGTTCTTCCATTTCTTTGTGTCCTCTTTTATTTTGTTGAGCAGTGGTTTGTAGTTCTCCTTGAAGACGTCCTTCGCATCCCTTGTAAGTTGGATTCCTAGGTATTTTATTCTCTTTGAAGCAATTGTGAATGGGAGTTCACTCATGATTTGGCTCTCTGTTAGTCTGTTATTGGTGTATAGGAATGCTTGTGATTTTTGCACATTGATTTTGTAGCCTGAGACTTTGCTGAAGTTGCTTATTAGCTTGAGGAGATTTGGGGCTGAGATGATGGGATTTTCTAAATATACAATCATGTCATCTGCAAACAGGGACAATTTGACTTCCTCTTTTCCTAATTGAATCCCCTTTATTTCTTTATCCTGCCTGATTGCCCTGGCCAGAACTTCCAACACTATGTTGAATAGGAGTGGTGACAGAGGGCATCCCTGTCTTGTGCCAGTTTTTAAAGAGGATGCTTCCAGTTTTTGCCCATTCAGTATGATATTGACTGTGGGTTTGTCATAAATAGCGCTTATTATTTTGAGACACGCCCATCAATACCTAGTTTATTGAGAGTTTTTAGCATGAAGGGCTGTTGAATTTTGTCAAAGGCCTTTTCTGCACCTAATGAGATAATCATGTGGTTTTTGTCTTTGGTTCTGTTTATATGCTGGATTATGTTTATTCATTTGCGTATGTTGAACCAGCCTTGCATCCCAGGGATGAAGCCAACTTGATCGTGGTGGATAAGCTTTTTGATGTGCTGCTGAATTCAGTTTGCCAGTATTTTATTGAGGATTTTTGCATTGATGTTCATCAGGGATATTGGTCTAAAATTCTCTTTTTTGGTTGTGTCTCTGCCAGGCTTTGGTATCAGGATGATGCTGGCCTCATAAAATGAGTTAGGGAGGATTCTTTCTTTTTCTATTGATTGGGATCGTTTCAGAAGGAATGGTATCAGCTCCTCTTTGTACCTCTGGTAGAATTTGGCTGTGAATCCATCTGGTCCTGGACTTTTTTTGGTTGGTAGGCTATTAATTATTGCCTCAATTTCAGAGCCTGTTATTGGTCTATTCAGGGATTCAACTTCTTCCTGGTTTAGTCTTGGGAGGATATTTGTGTACAGCAATTTATCCATTTCTTCTAGATTTTCTAGTTTATTTGCTTAAAGGTGTTTATAGTATTCTCTGATGGTAGTTTGTATTTCTGTGAGATCGGTGGTATTATCCCCTTTATCATTTTTTATTGCATCTAATTGTTTTTTCTCTCTTCCCCTATTATTAACCTCATGTATGAGTGTGGTACACTTGTTGTAATTGGTAAAATGCCTGTTGAAGATGCTTAGCTGGCTGCAGCATGTGAAACAGCTCCCACCTTCCCCCACTAGATCTCCTTTCTGAGCAGGGCTTATTGCTAATTACAACATTTTAAAAACAGCGAATAATGGAGAATCCAATCCCCTGTTCCCACCCCAACACATACATCCCTGAGGTTAGGACCACCCAGAACACAAGCAGTCCAGGAGACTCACCAGATTTCGGTGAGCCCCTCTCAGTTCACATCTTCTCTGCCCTTTTAGATTTGAGACACCACGACACAAGAAGAAACCATCCCTGACTTTCTTCTTCCCTTTTCAAACTGAACAAGTTCCTGAACTTGTCAAACATAAATGCAAAATTATGAAAAACAATCGTAAGTGAAAACTCCAGTTATTAAAATGTATGGGGACTAATTATTGATCTGATGAAATGCTGAATAAAAAGAAAGAGACACGCTTGGATAAATAGAAATCTTTTAAAGTCATTAATATACATGTGTTTATTTTTCCTCATCTACACTGGAAGCTGCAGCAGGGCTGTATTGTCTAACAAATTAGAAGGGGTGACAATGCCATGTTCAGCCCTATGTGTGATGTCTCTCCACTCAGACTTATTAATTTCTGCCAAATTAAAACAAGCCCTCCCCACCCCTGCCCGACAGGCTGCAGGAATGTGTAGTGCAAATACAAATGCCGTTAGGAAGACCTCGCCTTTGGGCAGCTGCCGGGAGAGCCTGCACACTGGCTTGAAGCTGTTTCAGCACAGACAGGAAACTGCTAGGAAATTGCTGTCCCCAAACTAGGCGCTATCAAAAGGGGAGCTCTTCCAGGCATGGCTGCACCTTGGTTCTCTTCCTGGTAGGGTGATCCTTCCCACTTGTCTCTGCCTCAGTTTTCCCCAGGGGCAATCCTGAGTCCTGCACCACTGACCCACAACCCCATTTCAAAATGATCACCTTGGTCCTGAGCCTTGGTTTTTACAGGCATATTGGCCTGGCCAGCTGATCTCTGACTACTACACACTCTTCAGATTTCTGCAGGAAACTTGGGCCCAGGGCCTTGGCCTCAGAGTGTGTTTGTAACAAGTTTGAGTATCTCTGCTCATGCGCAATTCCTATCCTGCTATGCCACATGGCCAATCCTTCCAGTCTGTGTGGCCTCCTTCAGGAAGTCTTCCTGGAGAGCCCACTACCACCTCTGGTGCCTCAAGTTATGATTACGCCTTCAGATGTCCATCTCTCCCATCTGCAAGTGAGCACCTGGAAGGCAGGGTGTAAGTTGCACCCAGCTCTGAGCCCCAGGGCTCAATACAAGGCCTGGCCCCGGAAAATGGACACAGTAGCTAACATTTATTCTGAACCAGGCCCTGGGCTAACCAATTCACAAACACAATCTCATTTAACCTCACAGTATTTCATAAGGTGAGAAGAAACCTCATACAGTTTTACAGATGAGAAAATGTAGGCTCAGGGAAGTCAAGTCCCCTACTCAGTGAGTGATTGGTGAATCCTGATGAGACTCCATGTCTGTCTTCCTTAGAGCTTTAGCCACTCCAGAGCCTCAACCTTAACCACTGCTCCTTAGGGGAAAGAAAGGAGGGGGAAAGGAGGAGAAATTGCCTCACTTGTCCCTTTCAGCTCTGACTGGGGCAGGGACATCAGTTAGCATCCAAATGGGTGAAACCCCGTCTCTATTAAAAATACAAAAAAAAAAAAAATTAGCCAGTCATGGTGGTGGGAGCCTGCAGTCCCAGCTACTTGGGAGGCTGAGGCAGGGGCACGTGAACCCAGGAGGTGGAGCTTGCAGTGAGCTGAGATCACGCCACTGCACTCCAGCCTGGGCGACAGAGTGAGACTCCGTCTCAGAAACAAACAAACAAACAAACAAAAACTGACAACAGCCTCACTAGGGCAGGGGGAAGACGAGCTGGTGGTAGAACAGAGAGATGCTTAGGAAGAGGCACCTTCAGGATCTGTCCACTTGCTGAATGAGGGAATGCCAAGGGAGTCAGATGGATCAATAGGTAGATAGTGTTGTTGTTGACAGAAATGTGAACTTTGAATCATCACTCTATCATCAGCATCACAGATAAAGAGAGCTAACTTCATGCCAGGCACTGTAGTAAGTACTCTTCATACATTGTCCCATTCAGACCTCATGGCAACCCTGTGAGAAAGTATTATTGTCCCCATTTTATATATGAGAAGATGGAAGTTTCCAAAGAATACCCTGTTGGGGACAGTTTACATAGAAAATTACCTGAACCTTGTAGAGAAATATTTTTACTGAACCCTTTTAACCATGAAATATGTTCCCTGGCTTCTCAGTCCTTCCCCTTAGCATAAAGAGATTGGGGTGGCCTGCAACCCCTACTTATTGCCCCATAGCCACAGTTCCAACATGGGCTGGGCCCATGTGGGACCGAGGGATTGAGGCAAGGAGAGACACTCCACAAAGTTCCAGTATCCCAGGGCCTGCCAGTCCCTGAGACACTCCCCAGCTACCTCTCCAGCAGGTTTAACAAGTCTGCCCACAAATAGAACAAATGGAATAGGCATCCAGGAGTTCTCCAGGGGGGCAGGCAGATCAGCATCCCCCTCACTGAAGTACCCAGATTTCTGACGGCCACCTGGGGCCTATATTCCACTGCTTCTGAAATCCCCCAACTTTCCCACCCTTCCTGCTCAAGGACTCACTCCGTGTCAGGATCACAGCCACTTGGAGCCCCCACCCCTGTAGAGCTATCAGAATTGGGTAAATGCAGCTGTTGTTTTGAAGGAGTAAGTTGAGGGCACTTAGCAAATCAACTTCCTAATGAATCTTTTCAGGTCTGGATGGGAGCTGGTCCGTTACTATGGAACTTGGCTTGATTTGGAAATTAATGTGGTAATTTACAGCCACTCTGCCAGGCAGGAAGATTAAAAGAGAGAGAGAGAGAGTGAGGGGAGACAGAATGAGGGGAGAGAGGCCTCTGCAGTGGCAGAACCTTAAGAGGCACCAGCTTAGTGCATGTCTGGAGGGCTAGACCACATGCACTGGGCACCGTGAAGGTGGTGTCAGCTAGGCTGGGCCCATGTGGGACAGAGGGATGGAAGCAAGGAGAGACACTCCACAAAGTAGATCAAAAATCAGTATCTCAGGCCCATTTGGGACTGTACCAGTGCAGGGAGTCCTCGCTTTAGAGATTGTGTGTGTGTGTGTGTGTGTGTGTGTGTGTGTGTGTGTGTGTGTCCCTAACTTCTGGGATTCATTTCCGAAAGTCAGCTTTTGCCATGACCATAAGTCACCGATATCATTATTTACTTTATGTTTTTCTTTAAATTTACTCAATTTGTATCTTAAACGAGTTTTATATCACTTCTATCATAAATGGAAAGCCAATATTACATACTAAGAAGAAAAAGTAAATGTAAAATTAATTGCACTGAAAATAAAACAAAATTACTAAATTCTAGAGCAGCCCTTGCCTGCCAAATGCTCTGAGTCTGAAACCTGCCCCTATTTTGGGAAAAGCATGTTAGAGAGGTGCTCAAGACATATTAGTGCAAAACTGAGGTGTGAGCACCTCTTGATGTAATCAGACAGATTGAAAGAAGAGTTAAATGGAAACTACTTTTGCACTTGTGAGTCAGTGCTGTGTAATGCTATGATCTTCGCATTTTATTTATTTAGCAAACATTTACATAGCACATACTATGTGTCAGAGGCTGTTCTAAAAACTTTTTAAAAATCAACTCATTTAATTCTTATACTAACCCTAGATAGTATAGCATTATTTCCATTTTAGGGAGAGGAGACTGAAGTATGGAGAGATTTGGTAGCTTGCTAGAAGTCACCTTAAACCATCTAAAATCCTGTACTGGTCATTCTACACTTCAATGGGCCAGAGTGGCCCAGAGCCCCTCCAGCCACTGTCTGGACCAGAGCTACAGACATATGGGAAGGAGCAGTATGCAGACAGGGAGTTCTAGATAACTGCAGACTGATTCCTCAGGGCCAAGGCCAGGCCAGACCAGTGGTGGCATCGCTGGGTGGACCCTGGCGGTCACTCCTCTTAAGCCCTCTGAGGCTCTCCATCTGACTGTAAGTCTGGGTTCTATGGGTGGTGGGCAAGAGACAGTTGGATGCTGATCCAAACAATAGTCTCCAGGAGAGAAGAGAGTGATTTTCTCGCTTTTTGTTTTGTGAAATTTTTTAAATATATAAAGAGATATAACACAAACCCCTAGAGATTCTGCTTTTCTCTTCTAACTGTTCTTGGCAGAAGTCTCCGAACAGTGCTCTAAGGATCAGACAGGGGCTGCCACTGGTAGTCAGGTGGCTGGGATCTGAGGAGACAGCAGGTTCCCTTGGCACAATGGCAGTGGTGGGTGCAGATGGAACAGTGTAGAGATGAGGGGCCCTCTTTGGAGGGAGGGCTTCTGTGACTAGCTGCCTCTGGAAGTGCAGGGAGGTGCCCTTGAGGGGCCTACTGTGGCAGTCCCTCCCTGGACAGCCCATGCCTTGTTCTGGTCTTGGGATGGAAGACATACTGCAATCCGAACTACAATCTGAATTGGGTGACAGGGGCCCTGTATCATTATTAGGATAATAAAAAAGTAGCAGAGGGAATATTTTGGAAATTAATAAAGCATTATTCTCTTTTGCATCCCCAAGTACATGAGTCTTGCCCCATCTAACTAGCATGAAGTTGAGAATCTCTCAAAAGGGATTCCAAGAGAAAGATAAAGTAATATTCAGCCTCTGACATTTAAAAAAAGGCCAGAATTTTATCCTGACCAGAACTAAAAGCAAGAGAGGAGGCTCAGAAGGAAGGTCAGATCATCAACAGAAAAAAAAATACATTCTTTCTGCAGATTTGAGTTGGAATGTGAGTTAAATTTGAAACCCTACTAAATAGCTCACATTGGGCATTTCCTTTGTGTCAGTTCATTTATTTGCCAAATGTTTTATATGTACAGCCTCTTTTAATCTTCTGAATAATCCTGAGGTTAGTGCTGTTACTATCCCCATTGTATGACTGAGGAAAGGGAGGAGATTAAGTAACTTGGCCAAGGTCAGACACCCAGGAGGCAGTAGATCAGGGATTTGAATCTTCAGGCATTTCTCTAGACTGTAGCAATTGTCCCCAAGAAGCTACTAGGCCCCATGGCCACCATGATTCATACCTCCCAAGAGCAACCAGAGCACATCTTAAGAGAGAATCTGTCTTGTCTTCAGATGTCAGAACCAAAATTCTCGGGCTCATGTCAGTCAAGGCCTCACCCAGGGACCCTCCATGGGCCTTCTCAGGAAAGGAGTAATGATTCTCAGCCAGCCCCTCACAGATGCCACAGCACATAAAGGTTGGAAAGGCCATTGGAAATACACGGGCCCCACACTAGAGGATGTGAACTGTGGAGGCATTTGCCTCTTCTGGTCTCCTTACACAGGCTAGGCATGTGCTACCACACAGATTCCAGATCTATCAATAATGCAGATCACATGTCCTCACCAGGATCTGGGGCTTTACTAGTTTTCTCAGCAGCCCAGTGAGCCCCTCAGCTTCCAGAGGCTCAAGGCACCAGCCCACCAGCCCACGTGAGGGTCGCTGGTCCCCTTTCTCCAGTTGGAAGCTCAAAAGTCAGGAAGGATCTGGCTTCCCCACTGGTCCCCTGGACATTGGAGAAGGTCTGCCTCACCTGTCTACCTTCCCAGCCTTGGACCCTTTAGACATAAGCCCAGCAGAGAGGGCATGAGGCCATGTTCATCCGCAGACCTCGCTCCCCTGGGGTATCCAGATCTCTCCCCTTAAGCCTGAGGCCTGGAGGCCAGCCTGGCTCTGCTAATGCTTGCCGCATGATCTTCAACAGGTGAGTTACCGTCTCTGCATCTCAGTTTCCAAATAAAGGGTTGGAGCCTCTGAGGTTTAGCAACCACTGTTCCCCCAGTCTGGAACACCCTTCCTCTCTACTTCTTAGACTGGCTAACTTCTAGGTCTTTCTAGACTCAACTCATCTTATCAGATCATTTAGGAGGCCTTTTTCCATCCTCCATCTTCCAACTCCTATCCTAAGCTGAATTGCGTTTCTCCTCTCTGCTCCAATAATTATTATTATGTTTTCGGTATAATGTCAAACTTTTATTAAGCACTTACTGTATGTCAGGCAGTGTTCTAAGACTTCACATATATGAATTTATTTACTTTTCACAACAAGTCCATAAGGTGGATGCTAGTAGTGTCCTTATTTTACTACAAAGGAAACTAAGAAATAGAGGCAAAATGAATTACCTGAGGTCATCTAGCAAGGAAGTGTCTGAGCTGGTATTTGAACTCCTCCATGGTTCTAAAGAATGATGAAAAAGTACGATGGGGCATGAGGGAAGCCACCTTTCCTGTCAGAGGTTCCATTGTGGTATGTGATCCCGTTCAGGGAGGCCCAGCCAAAGTTTATAGTCAAATCACTTCTTTTACAGCTTAGCAATGACCTCCAAACCCAACTTGCTGCTCCCAGCATCAGTAATTTTGTCTGTTGTCATTGTCACGATTACCCCAAATTCACCCCAGAATAGAAGTCCGAGCTGTGGAAGGACAAGGACATGGCATCATGAATCAGAAAATGGGGTAAGATCTGAGGCTGAGTGTGATTTGGGCAAGTTCCAGCTCCTCTCTGAGCTGTTCTCTCATCTGAAAAAAATGGAGATACAATACCTACCTCAGAGATTTGGGGAGGATGAAATAAAAGAACTGGTGTCTTGGGAAGCCAAGGTGGGAGGATCGCTTGAGACCAGGAGTTTGAGACCAGCCTTGACAACAGTGAGGCTCCATCTCTACAAAAAGTTTAAAATTAGCTGGGTGTAGTGGTGTGCATCTGCAGTCCTATCTACTCAGGAAGCTGAGACAGGAAGATTGCTTGAGCCCAGGAGTTTGGGTCTGCAGTGAGCCATGACCACACCTCTTAACTCCAGCCAGTGACAAAGTGAGATCCTGTCTCAAATATGTATGTGTGTGTGTATATATATGTATGTGTGTGTGTATATATATATGTGTGTGTGTGTATATATATATTATAGTCATACATATATATATATATATATATATATGTATACATATGGTGTCAAGGCCCTGAGCAATTAATTCAGCAAGAACCTGAATAGCAAGGACCTATTCAGCAAGGACCTACGGCTGTTGCTGTCAAAGAGGGAAAAATGTCCCTGCCCTCAGAGAGTTTACATTTGAAGATGGTATTTGCACTAGAGTTGTTCCCCAGATCAACTCTTCCTGAAGGAAACTGTCTCTATTCATGAAATCACTGTGTTCCCATCATATGAGAATCTCAGAATCCATATTGACAGGTACCCTACTGCCCTACTCACTGCTATCTCCTCTTCTCCTTCCTCTGTCCCCACCTAGGTAAATGAGAGGCCTCTGACAGCTCACCCTCTTCTCTGGGTATTCTTCCTCCTCTCTAAAATAAGGAGTTTGGGTTGGACAGATTTCCAAATCCTTCAAGGTGGCCATTGATTACTGAATGGTTTACTACTTCTTTAGATGGTGAGGGTGGCAGGTGGGCAGAAGGATAAACCAAGCATCTATGAGGACCTTAGGAGATTCCCAGGCATGTCCTCATTGAGCCTGAGGCACTAAATTTTACTCTCTGGCCACATCAACACCTTTAAATTCCCTTCACCTCCTACTGAGAATACATTCTGGTTCTCACCCATGTGCCTTTGTCTATGTTGTTTCCTTTGCCTGGGACACTTCCCTCCATTCCTTGCCTTCCTAGCCAGTCCCTATATTACCTTTAAAACTCAGAGCAGAAGTTGCCCCCTCCCTAGTCTGCTATTTTTGCATTCAGTGCATTAAAGTATAATCTCATCATTTGAATATCTGTTTTTCCCGCAACACTGAGGGCTCCTCAAGGACAGGTACTGTATTTTATAAGGTCGTGTCCCCAGCCCCTAGGTCAGCGCCTGGCTCATAGTAGGTGCTTAATTGGTATCAGTTAGATTGAATTGAATGTGATTTAAAGTCACCTGCTGCAGTACCCAATATCAGGAAATGGCAGAACTAGGACTTGAACCCAGGCCTGAAGACGCCAAGTCCAGCACGTATCTTCTCCCTGCAGCTGTCAGGAGAGGCAAAGAGAAGACCCACTGGCAGAGGAGGGGTGTTCAGACCAGTTGCTTTCATCAGCCTTCCACAAGATTGGAGGAATCTGTGGGAGGGGTCCTCAGGGCACACTGAGGCCTCTGTTTGTCCATGCTGCCCATGCTGTTTACTTCCCCTTTTCCCCTTCAGCCCAGCCCCTGGCTTTCTGGGGATTGAAGTCAAGCCGTACTTCCCCACTTCTGCTTCCTTTCCCCAGACCCCTGTAAATACAGTGGGAACCTGGCTTTCTGAATGAGATGGGAGGAGAAAAAGAGAGCCACCCACCCCCATGCCTGTCGAGTGCCCAGTTCATATTCCTGCTGCGACTGTATCTAAATTTGCAAATCGTCACCCCGTGCCCCACCATCATGTGTCATCTTTTATGCATGGCCACCTCTGCCGCGCTGCTCGGCCGGTTGCTATGCAACCAACGACAGCGCCGCGGGGGCCTGACATTAGTGAAAGCAAATTGACCAGAGGAGCCTTCATCCTGCATGCAAAGCAGCCAGGGCCTCACTCTTTGGAGAGGCTGCTGGAGCTGAGGCTGGACCACCTCTTTCTATGGGGGCCAGACCCTTTGGCTGCAGCCTCCCCAGCCTAAGCTGCAGACACTGGGAAACCTTAGTCCTCCTACTTCTGGAAAAGGCTGAAATCTGACCAGTGACAAGAGCTGCTTCCAAAGGGAAGTGTGGGCAAATGCATCTTCAGGCTCTAAAAATCTAAACCTCCAGTATGATGGACATTAGCTCCTGCAGCAAAAGAGTTACTATTCATTGAGCACTTACTATGTGCTGGGCACAATGTTTGGCACAAGAACAGTACGATGCAAAAAGCTCTAACTTCCTGGATCCCAGCCCAGCTCCACCATTACTCAGCTGTGTGTTGTGCATGCAAATTATTTATCAGGACAGAGCCAGCCACTGAAGGCTGTCCCTAGACATCTTGGAAAGCGATAAAAGGCTGGATAATGGGGAGGGGGAAGGAAGCCAGTACAGCAGCAGGAGTGAGAAGATGAGAGAAAAGAAGGAAGGGAGGATACTGCCTTGCACTCCTAGTATTGGAGGCCTCTGAGCCTCCTGTTGGGAAGAACAGAGGAAATTAGAAGCTGGTAGTTCTGGTCTCCCCTTCTGCACAACCCGCCATGGCCCCCACTCCCAGGTATGTGACCTACAATTTCCCACTCGAGCATGCATACACTATTTTGCACTGGGAGGTAGCAAGTTGTGCTGGAAAGAACAAGGCTTTGGAATTCATTAGAACTGACCTCAAATCCTGGTGCTCACCCTTCCTAGCTGTGTGACTATAGCCATTTACTTCTTTTTTTAAATTTCAGCTTCTCAGTCTGTACAATGGGCATGATGATACCTACCTTCACAGGGTTAAATGGCTGCCATATGTAAAGCACCTAACAGAAAATCAGTAAATGCTACTTCCCTCCCCCAAACTTCAATGGCTCCCAATTGTCAGAAGAACAAATCCGCTTCCTTAGACTGACATTGTTCCCACCCACCTCCCCAGCCTTGCCTTCCCAACTCCCTGCACCTCTGCACCTCTGCATCTTTCCTCTGGTGCAGCTTCTCCCTAGAAGCCCTTCCCCTTGCTCTTCATTTTCTAAAATCTAGTCCACCTCTAAGGACTATAAAACAAATTAAAACTAACTTCAGCAAGGAACCCTGCCCACCAGGCCATTCCCCAATCCACTTTCCAGTGGGAAAATTCTTGGAGCGGGGGATCAAGAAAAGACTCTCTTTTCTTGGGTGGTGAGTTTGAGAAGCTATCTCTCAAAGCTCAGTCGCCCATTGAGGAATGTCGTTCTGTGGCTCCTGTATCCTGAGGACTACGTCTCACCCTGAGGATGGGCATGGAGCAAGCTCACAAAACACAGCTCAGGGACTTACCAGACACCCAGCATTGTTCTAGGTGCCATAATACCACTGTGGTTTTGTCCAGGGTTTAACACTCACAACCACTAACTAATTCACAATTACTCATTAACATACCAACATAATCTTTACTTTTCATACAAATCAGTGAGGTAGACATTACCCCCACTTACTGAGGAAGAATGGAGGCTCAGAGAGGAAAGGCAACATGTACAAGACCACACAGTGGGTGGGTGCTGGTCAAACTGGGGCAGGTGTGCAGTTCTACGTGAAAAATGGGCTATGCGGTTGTAATGTGTGGACTTTGTCTACATCATCAGTCATCATTAACACTTCAAACTGGTTTACCCATTTAAAAAAACTCACAAGTTGAAACAAAAAACCACTTACCTGTTTCTCGTAAAGACAAAAAACCTTTACCAAACCCAGAGAGAAGCAGCTTGGGGAGTGCAAAGGGCACCAGCTCAGTTGGATGACCCTGGGCAAGTGACTCCATTCTCTTGAGCCAGGGATTCCTCTCTCTGAAATGGAAGACAAGGTTACCTACCACATTCTCAGGTCTATTTTGAAGGGCAAAAATGATACAGACAAAGAAAGTACTCAAGTATGGAGTTTTGATAGGTATTAATATACCCTTAGAAGTAGCATTCCTCCAAACCAGAGGTTGACAACCTGTTTCTGACAGATGCTTTTCTTTAATTATTCAATGTTGAGAACTGTGTTGTTGTTGTTTAAAAGGAGATGTGCCAATTGTATTGCCTTCATGTTGTATTGAAAAGCATTTCTTCATTATTTGGACTAATTTCCAAACAAATTAAAAACTGTTGTAGCAGTCAAGCTCTGACTGCTCCATCCATTAGATTCAGAAGATGGCAAATTCCTTAAAACACAGATACAAACAATTCTGGTAACACAATCTGATTTTATAATTAATTTTCTGCCTGGGAAGGCAAAAGTTCTCCTTCTCATGTTCTTTGTCCTCAAGTTCCCGACTGTTCTCCCACTTCTGGCAGACTCTTAATTAAGGAAAAGCAGATTCTGTTACCTGGAATTCTGTTGTGTTGCAGGTAAAAAGGCAAATTTTTTCTCAAATGTGCTTTGATCACAGAGATGGTCAGGATAGAGGCAGTCACGAAGATCTTCTGTGATCGGACCTTAGTGGTTCCTGTTTCTACCTTACTGCAGCCACTGTGAACACATCCTCATCAGAGTGTGGTCACTCAGCAAGCCAGCCCTTGTCAGCAGCCTGTAGAGGCCCCACAGTATGCCAGCCTGTGGAGGAAGATGTGTCCTGGGAGTGCTTAAGGTCTAATACATGTGAGACTGAGACAAGAAACATGTGAGCAACAGGTTGTTTAAATATCAAGAGAGTGGCGCACTGGGCCCCTTGTGAGATGATGAGCATATTAGATGGGTCCAGATTTAGTCTATGACTAGGTCAGGGCCAGGTTTATGACTCAATCTATAGCCAGGATCAGTCCTCAGCATGGACCAAGATCAGGGCTCAGGCTGTGACCAAGATTGAGGTTCAGAGAATGATCAGGTTTAGGGTTCAGTCTGTGGCCAGAATCAGAGCTCAGGCTGAGGCCAGGATCACTCAGTCTGTGGCCAAGACCAGGGCACTTAAGACCTGAGGTCCAGGACCAGTCTTTGGCCAAGACCAGGCTAAACTGTAGTCAGGATCATGGCTCAGTTTGTGATCATGGCAGTGGGATTCATGAACGACTTAGATCTAGTCTCTGCTCAAGTATTCCATAGTCTTCTCTGGGAAACATTAAATTGAAATTATTCTATCAACTATTAAGAGTTATGACAGAGGGAAACAGGAAAGAAGAACACAGGACAGTGCCTCCTTTGCAGTCTGGGGCTGGGGGTGGTGGATGTGCCAGGGAACACCTTCCAGAGAAGGTGATGCCAAAACTGTCCAGAAGGGCATGAGTAGCTTCATTTCAATGTCCTTTTTTTGTATCATCACCTTGAGCACGTGGCTTCATTCCCTTTGCAATTTTCCAATTTTCCCCAGCACTCTGCACTGGATGCAATGTGTGCTTTGAGGGACACTCTTGTACTTCCTCTGGACAAGATCCTGGGGAACACATCATTTTCTTCAACCTCAGTACCTCCTATTATTTTCTGTCTACCATATAGGCACTCTGTGTAGCCCTGACACTAACTCCCAGCCGCCTTTGTCTCTTGTTGGTTGCACTGAATTTCTATACAGGGATCCATTTACTCACTTGTACTACTCATCTTCATCTTGTAGTACAAAGCTATGAACATTTTCCCCATGTTTATTTATAGATCCAGTAGCTCACAGAGGAGCAGCATGGTAGAGAAAATCAGATGATGACATCAAGAAACCAGGGTAGGTGTGTGGCCTCAGGTAAGTCACACAGCCATTCAGAGCTTCAGTTTCTTCATCTAGTAAATGAAGCTGATATCTTCCCTGCCTTTATTGTAGGATGTTTTGGAGGCCCACTGAGAGAACTGATGTAAAATGCTCTAAAGATGAAGAGAATTACAACAAATCACTCATGGATGGAGGCAGAACAAGTTCAGCTCAGCTTCATGGGACTGGCCAGTTCTTACTGTGGTCCTAGGAGGTAGGATTCATGGTCTTCTGTGTCTGTTCACAGCCCAAGAACAGGAAGAAGGGACAGAACATGTTTCTGAGCTCCTGCACTGGGGCATGAACACAGTTTGCATTCCCGCTTATATGTCAATGTCTGTACCCACATATACAGTTTGTATTCACATTTATATGTCAATGTCTATACCCACATATGGGTCATAGGTTGGCTTCTTCAGAGCAGACCTTGACATGGAGATACATATGCAAGTGATTTATTTAAGGAAATGTTTCTAGGAGAAACCAGTGAGGGAGTAAAGAAAGCAGGACAGGAAGGAGAAGGAGCCAAATAAGGCTGTGTTCTCAGGCAAAAGTCCTGCAGAGGGTAGATTTGAGCCTGATCCTGAAGGGGAAGTCTGAAATATACATCATCCCAACTCAAGGCAAGGGAGCTGGGCTTTCACTCTCCCCCTTCCAACATCCAACAATTGTTGTAAACTCCCAGACACCTCTAGCTGTCTGTACTAATGGGCTAATGCTAATTCCCAGTAGCCTAAGAGCCATTCACCAAAGAAGAGCCAGGAGTGCTTTTGAAAGCATATTAAGTGAGGTGTGGGGACTTCTGTGGAGCACCAACATTTTCTGCTAGAATGTTCCTAGGTGTGCTGGTCTCCCCAGCCTCACTGGCTATCTCTTCTCAGTTTTGTTTAAGAGTTCCACTTCCTCTATACCTTAAATGATGGCATTTCACCTGCTTAAAACTCTTCCCTGGTTCCTGACTGCCTTGAGGATAAAGTACAAGTCCCTTCACATGATTAAGAAGTCCCTTCATCCTCTGCCCTCTGCTGACTACCCCCAAGCCTCATCTTTCACATGGCCCCTCACTCTACTGCAACCAGACAAGACCTTGCTGTTGTATAGGAATTGTAGAGGGGTCCCACAAAGCCTTAAAACTGCTCATAGACCACTGGAGAAGACAGAAATGTGACAGGCAAATCTAGAAGTTTACGGGAATAGAGATAAGGTACCTAACTTAGCCTGGGTTCAATGAAGACTTCCCATGGGGAACAAATGTGAAGGCAAAGCAGGAAGATAAGTGTAGAAAGAGTGATCCTGGCAGGATTTGCAGCACTGGGGAGAGGTGGGGAATTGTGAGCAGGCATGGAACAGAGTGGTCACAAAATAAATATTTGTGCAATGAATACATGAGTGAATAGCCACACAAGTTTTACACATTATGGGCTTTGGAATTTAAAAGCCTTGATTCCGGTCTCCTCCTAATTACTCACTGAGAAACCTCAGACAACTTATTTAACCACTCTGAACCTCAGTTTTCTCATTTGGAAAATGGGGCTAATGAAAATATCTGATATGAAACAATGGATGCAAAAATATTCTGTAAGCTGCAAAACCCTGTTCAAATATTGGCTTTCATTCATTTATTTATTCAAAGAATAGTTTTGAGTTCCTACTGTATTACAGGTCATGCGCTGGGAATTTGTCCCGGAAATAGGAACTAGATGGGGACTCTGTTTCCAAGTAGAGAGGAGAAAAGTTTAGGAGAGGAGGCAAGGAGACAAGGAGAGGAGAGAAGTTTAGCTCATAATGAGACATGTTGCCATAGTTACAATCTGGGAGCTGAGAGAGCTCAGTGAAGGTTTCACAAAGAAGGTAAAATTTGTATAAGTGTGCCCTGATGGCTAAGGGTGGGTGTGTCAAGTGAAGGAGGGGTCCAAGTAGAGAGAAAATATATGAAGACACAGGGGGTAAAAAAACAGTGTGTTTAGACCAGGGGGATTGGTCTGGATGGCATAGTGTATGTGGGATGGTGGTAGGATGTGAAAAGGAATGAGAAAGTCTTTTGAGGTCAAATCATAGAGAGGAAATTTGAATATTTTTCTATAGGTATTGGGGACCCTTTTTGGCATGAGAGTTGCAGTGGCACTGAGATGACAGGAATAAGTGAGCAAAGCCTGTTTGAGGTCTAGGAAGAAGAGGTGTGGTAACGGTACCTTAAGAACTGGAGAAACTTCTGGACCTTCACTGCCAATGCACAACCATCACCGCCACCAAGCTTCAGCAATCTCTCCCTTGGACAGCTACCTGCTGTGAAAATACTTGCTTAATGTAGTTCCTCTTGAAAATGTTGTTCCTGCATTATGACTTTCATTACACATTTCCCAATGAGCTTTGTTTGGTTATTTTACTTGTGTTTCTATTGACAGGGCATAGGATGAAACACCTTCTAATTACCTCTGAATATCTTTACTGGTTATCTATGGCTGTGTACAAACCATCCAAAACTCAGTGGCTTAACACACCCATTTACAGAGGTCATGATTCTGTAGGTTTGTATTTGGGCTATCTTCAGGCAGGCAGTTCCACTGCTGATCTTGGCTGGGCTCATTCACTTTGTGTATAGTTTTGAGTCAGTTGGGAAGCTCTGCTTTGGAGATAGGCTGGCTATCAACTCTGTGGTTATGGGTATCAACTGAGCCATGTGTTTTTTATCATCTAGGAGGGTAGTCTGGGCTTGAGCACATGATGGTAGTCTCAGTATTCCAAGAAGAGCAAGAGATGTAGCTGCAATGCCTCTTGAACTAGGCTTATAACTCACCCAGTGTCATTTATATTATTGGCCAAAGCAAGTCACAAAGCCAGCCTGAAATGCACTCCACCTCATGATGGGAGAATTTGCAAAGTGCTGTGGCAATTTTCCCAATATGCTTCAAGGTGTATAAACTTTCTTCCATTAATCCTGGCATATGCAAGGAGGAAAGAATGGAAAACATTCCAAAGAAAGTTTTTGTTATTGTTGTTATTTTCTATAACCATAACAAATACTGGAAGCATGATGATTCCCTATTGTTTACACATTATCATTATTATTTATTGAGCACCTCATATGTGCCAGAGACCAGTCAAATAACAATGAAAAAGATATACACAGTACTTGTTCCCATGGGGCTTACAGTCTGATGGAGAAAATATATTAAACAAGTAATTCCAATAACTTGATAAGTATTATGTCTAAAAATTTTATAGCTTTATTAATTTTTCCTTTATGTTTTTGTCTTTGGAGTCCTGAGTTTTAAAGGCTTCTCTGGATTAAATAAATATTAATTTCTATAAAAGGGCTTTTGAAAGTTGCACCCCTAGCAGGAAGCTCTTTTACCTTGGGATGCCCAGTGAGCAAACCTGGGCCCAGCCAGAAATTTAAGAACAAAGGAGAGAAACCCCAGTTCATCTCCAGACCTAGGCTTTCACCCTTTCTGGAAAAAACCAATACTGTGCTCTTTTCACATTGTGTCCTCACCCCAGGTGATCACCCTTCTACAGAGGTTAAAGGCCCTACTCCATCAGCTTAGGCCTGATATTGACACCCCAATTCCAGGCTGTTTTCTGTTGCCCAAGCTCCTGTTGGGCCCCTACCACAGGTGCTTTAATGTACAACCTGATGGATATTTAGAGCTCTCAGAAGCATTTGACTGGACTTCATTCCAGTATATACATACATACATACATACATACATACATACATACATACATAGCGATGATAGATAGATAGATAGATAGATAGATAGATAGATAGATAGATAGATAGATAGATGATAGATATAGATAGATGATAATAGTTTTCTTTTTTTTCCATTTAACATTGTATTCGGAATCTTGCCCTATGGTGTTAAACAAACCCACCCTGGGGGATATATCATGGATAAATGTATATTAAAATATCCTAAAAGAGAAGCTGTTTGTCCAAGCATCTCTCCTTGGAGGGCCTCTCTACCCCATCCACCCATTGCAACTGGGTCAGCTCGGCACTGGGCATAGGGGTAAGCCCCACTCTCTCTTACTCACTCCCTCCACTTTTCTGGGCATTGGGTTAATATTTCCTTGAATCACAGTGGTAAGATATGAGACATACATTTGGGCATTGGTGGCCTGCTGTGGTGTGGGGAAGTGCAATCCTAATGAGCTAGGGGAAAGGCGCATGCCCAGCAGCCCAGCTCAGCTCCCTGGGGTTCTTGGTGCTAGGCATTGGAATGAAAACCTCAGTTTAGAGTAAAGCATGTCTGCGCGCTCCAGTTGATTTGCTAGTCCCCACCCTGTGCAGTAATATCCTTAGAAACATTGACAGGAGAAAGGGAAGAAAAGGAGGCTTCACCATAATGGGATTCAGCTGGTCTTGGGTCCCTCAATCATAGCACCATCTAGTAGCAAACTGGTCTTACAAATATTTCCAACATTCAGCATGGAATGCTGTAAGGGGGAAGCCCACTTCATTCATTTATCTGTTCAATAAATATTGTCTCTTATGTGTGGCGCTCTTCTAGATTCTGGGGTTGCAACAGTAACTGAAACAGACCTAAATCTATGCCCTCCGAGAGTTTGCATTCTGGTGAGGGGCTGAACATAAAATGTGTAAGAAGAAAAACAAGGGAAGCAATAAGCAATGTCTTGGGTGGTAGCTTTAGATTGGGTGGTCAAAGAAGGCCTCATGGAGAAAGTGACATCTGAGCAAAAACTTGGGGGAGGTGAAGGAGAGAAGGGTGCAGGAAAGCAACACAAAAATAAACAGCAGAAATGAAGAAGGGGGCAGAGGTATATCACATGTGAGCCCAGAGAAGAACACCTAAGCCTATTTAAGGAATCTTCCCAGGGAGATGATTGCTGAGAGGGTACTTCAGGGATGAGTGGAAATTTGGCCAGCAGACACAGGCACAAGGGCATTCTAGCAGAGAAAAAAAGTGTGTGCAAAAATACAATGAAGCCATGAAACATGTCTCAGCTGTGAACCATGAAACCCAGACCCAGAGGGGTTCAGCAACTCAGTCAAGGCCACTCAGTAATAACAATAAAACAAACTAATATTAACAATGATGTGTATAATCAACACTTGGTGAGCCCTTACTGTATGTCAGACCCCATGAAATTCTTTCTTTATGTTGACTGCCTTAATCATCACAACAACCCCATGAAGTACTGTGCACAATCCCATTTTGCTAAAGGAGTTGAGAACTCACCCAAGTTTACACAGCTTTTAAGTGCTAGAGCCAAGCTTTGGTGCCAGCAGGCTGGTTTCAAAAGCCACACACTGGGACCCAGGACTGCATCCTTCTCCACCAGGCTGCTTCACTGACTTCTAAAGTTCCTTTAGTCCAGCCCCGCACCTTTGGACTGGTAAGAGATGAATGGCCTCATTTGACACACTAGGCCCTTGAGGCCCAGGAGATAAGAGCCCAGTCAAGTTCACACAGGTAACGATAAAGACCATTTCCATATTCCAGGGAATGTGACCATCTGGGGATCCATCTCACAGGAGACTTTCTTTTCTTTAAAGATGAAGCTCCTAGAGTTCATCCAGTCCAGTATTTCTCAGTCTTTTCTTAACACCACAAATATACTATGTACCTGTTTATGTAATACACATTTATTGTTTTACACATTAAAATAAGAGTACACTCTTTCCACCCTCCCAAGAACCACTTTTTACCCTCTTGAGGGCAACATCACCTGCTTTGAGAATGCATGATCTAATCTAGCCCTGTCATTTTATAGTTGAAGAGACTGATGCCAGAGAGGTGGAGGGAATGCCTCAAGGTCACTTAACTCAGACCAAATAGAATCAAGAGCAGATCCCAGGGCTCCTGGCTCCTCCACTCCACACTGCCTCAAGTATAATCATGGAAGCCTTTGCTACCCCTTCCCCTAATCTGACACTCTCTGCCTTTCCTTCTGCATCTAAGGGCTCCATCCAAATTCAGACCCCCAACTTTCTAAGAGTAAGATGGTCAGCAACTAAGGAGCCAGGTACCTCCTAGACACCCCGGGTTAATAGTCAGGGACCAGCCCATCAGGAGATCCAAAGGGGCACCTGGGCTTCCTTCACAGAAGGCTGGCATGAAGGGACAAGCATTGCTCAGCTCAGGTCTTCACCATAGGGCCAACAGAGATCACACTGACAGTTTCCTTAGAGGTTCAGCTCCATCACCTTTTCCAAATGCAAGACAAGCATAAAACTACTTCAGCAATGGAAAAAAAATCAACTTGGAAATAATTAAACAGCAAGGCAGCCACCCATAATGATATTCTGCAGCACACTTTGGGGACAGTTTGCTGCAAAAGCGCCCGAGCACTCCGGTTGTTTAATTAACATTGAAACGGCAGTTCCACAAGAACTAAAAACCCTGTTAATTTATGTGTCTCTTAATGATGCTCATTTAAATACTGTCAACTTTCCATTGGTTTAATATTCATGATTTTGCGTCATTAAAACACAACGATCAGCTTGGGGTGCGGGGGGAGACTTTCTTAAACACCCAGAAACACAAACCGTCTGAAGACAACAATTTCTAAATCCATACCTTTCCAACCCTCCCCGCAAAAGTTCAGCCCCTTAGAGAAGTTGTAAACCTGCTGGAGTGCTTTCAGAGCTGTGGACTGTGCAAGAGGTTGAGTGTAGTTTTATCATTTACTGCCCACTCACCTTTAAAACCAAGCTGGGCCTGATCTCATTGTCAGCAGATACAGAGCTGGGGAGCTCAGCTGGCAAATGCAGGCACTTGATATGCACCAAGAGACCAGGCTCCACACCCAAGGGTGTTCAGAAGTTTTTAATCATGGCTAGGAGACACAAGTTACCCTGAAATATATTTCTGACAGAGAGGGACATTTAGGGCTGGTCAGGGTAAGATACTAATGAGGGGAGGAGGCATAGGGCTCAGAAGGGGGTGGGAATACCCTTATAGGGAACACGCAGGAAGTCAATGCAAGGCCCAAACAGGAGCTACACACACCATGCAAACTGTGGTGAGCCCACACAGATAACCCACAGACTCAACACCCACAGGTACTGGCAGAGACACAAGCCGACTCTCTGTCAGAGCATGGCCAGTAAGAATTCTGTCAATCCAATTCAGGATTACTGAACTCTGACTACAGTCCACACACTATGATGGGCTCTGAAGATTCCAACCTGATCAAGTGGGGAAGACAAACAAGTTAACAGGCAATGACCAAGAGAAGAGAAAAGAGCCAGGGCAGATGATAGTAGGAGGATGTGGGAAGCTATTTAGAGGAAGGGGCACAAAGGTGGGAAGTGGGACTGGCAACAGAACAGGCGGACACGTGGTAGACACTTTCTAAATGTTAGTCCCACCCTCTTCTCAAGCTCTGTCTCTGCAGAACCACTTCACAATACTGGATCCTGCTTTCACTGAGCTCAAAACCAAGTCCCAGGGTAAGTCAAATATCAGCATCTCCTTATTTATACATCCTTCCCAGACAGATCATGATAAGTGCCATGGGAGTTGACTGGAGCAGAGGTCAGAGCACTGACCTCAACTCTACCTAGAGCAGGGTTCCACTTACTACTCATATGACCCTGAGCAAAATCGGTTAACCAGTAAATGTCCGAGTTTCTCCTTTGCAAAATTGAGATAATAGCACCCAATATTATTTGTATTAAAAATATCTGTTAATAGGTGTGTCTTCTCCACTAGAATGTGAGCTATAATATCTGATTTATCTCCATATTTTTAGGGCATGGCACATAGCAGGGACCAGAGGTATGCTGAGCTGAACTGAACAGCTGACCTCACAGGGATGCCTTAATGAATTAATAAAATGAAAGATATAAAGAGCACTTAGTAGGTCCTCAATAAATTATTTTTGGCAAGGGAGAGGATTACGGAAGGCTTCGAGAAGTTTGAATTTAAAGTAGACCTTAAAGGGTAGTGTAATGTGAGCCAAAGAGAAAAACATCTTAAGTTGAAAGAATAGAGTACACAAAGAACCAGGCCAGGAAAGCCCAGCCCCACCTGTCTCCCTCTCCCCACACCTGGCTCCACCTATATACCTCCTGCTGATCATACCATTCTCTTTCACAACTTCTTTTCTGTCCTCAGAATATTATATTCTCCCTCAATCACCCAGCTAACTCCTATTGGGCTTCAAGAACTGGTTCAGGAGTCACCTGTTCCAGGAAGCCTCCCTGCCCTCCTTTAGGTTCCCTTTCTGGGATCCTGAAACTTCTCTGTCTCAGCCGCAGCACACCATGTTGTCATCACTGCTATGTGCCTGTCTCCCAACTTGGAAGACAAAGTCTGGTTCTGAATCATCACTGCATGCCCAACGCCCAGCACAGAGCCTGGCACAGAAAAGTTTTTGCCTTATAGATGGTATGATGGTTAATTTTATATATCAGCTTGACTGGGCCAAAGGTGCCCAGATTAAATATTATTTCTAGGCATTTCTGTGAGAATGTTTTTGGGTGAGATTAGCATTTGCATCATTAGACTCAGTGAAGTAGACTGCTCTCATCAATGTGGGTGGGCCTCATCCGATCCACTGAGAGCCTAAATAGAATGAAAAGCAGAAAAAGGGAAGATTCATCCCCTTCCTGCCTGCATATCTGTGCTAGGACATCAGTCATCTCCTGCCTTTGGACTGAGATATACATAATGGCTCCCCTCATTCTCAGGCCTTTGGGCTTGGACCAGAATCACACCACTGGCATTCTTGAGTCTTCAGTTTGCAGAGACAGATCATGGGACTTCTCAGTTTCCATAACTGCATGATGACTCCTTATTTTGTGTGTGTATATGTGTGCATGTGTATTTCACTGGTTCTGGATTCACTGGAGAACCTGACTAGTACAGATGACAAGCAAACAGTCTGGGTTTGAACAGCAATTCAAGAACATTGCCCTCTGTACACTGTACACAGACAGCTGTCTGTAGTGGCCACCTGGGCCAAGTCACAAAGGCCTGGGCCAAGCCAGCTTCTTCCTCTTCCTTCCTCCACCCACCATCCAGTCATCATGCACTAGAAGGTCATTAGTCTAATAAGATTCTATTCCAGTCTGGATGTGGTGGCTCACGTCTGTAATCCCAACACTTTGGGAGGCTGAGGTAGGAGGATTGCTTGAGCTCAGGAGTTTGAAACCAGCCAGGGCAACATAGCAAGACTCCATCTCTAATGAAAAAAAAAATTAAAATTATCATATGGGCATGGTGGCATGTGCCTGAAGTCCCAGCTGTTCAGGAGGCTGAAGTGGGAGGATTGCTTTAGCCCAGGAGATCAAGGCTGCAGTGCTGTGATGCAATCACGGCACTCCAGCCTGGGTGACAGAGTGAGACATTGTCTCAAAAAAAAAAAAAAGATTCCATTCCATCCGTCCCTCCACCTCTCTGTCTCTTGATCCCTATTCCCACTGCCCCCTACTCAGGCCCCACCAACTCTCTAGCCTTTTTATTACTTGCCTTGGGTTGCCACTGTCTCCTGCAATCCATTCTCTATGCCTAACCACATAAATTGAGCTAACAATCAGGACTCTTCCTCAGAGGAGATATAACAACCTGACCTGGAAGGCCCTCTGGATACCAGCACTGCCAACCCCTCTGCCGGTCCAGCCTCATCTCTCCACCCTGATGGCTCCAGCCATTCCCTCTCTTATCTCCAAACCTCCCACCTGCTATTTCCTCCACCTGGAAAACACTTTCTCCTCCTCATCCCCCTTTCCCAGATCACTTCTTTTCAGCTTTCAAGTCTAAGGTGCCAGTGTCACCTTCTCTAGAAAGCCTTTCCTGACCCTCCTCAGGCTGAATTAGGCCTCCTCCTGCCTTCACTCGGTCTCTCCCTTAGACAATGGACATTTGTCAGATAAGAGGGAAGGTGCTCGGGTAGTCAGAGATAACATTGTGGGGAGGGAGAGAGTCTCCAGTAGGGCTTGCTCTTTTCTGGTTTATTTTACTCTTGGGGCAGCTCTAAGAAGGTCTCCCCCACCAGCACATCTGTGGGGACTTGGCCAGAGTGGGTGAAGCTGCTGGAGCAACAGCAGCTTCCTCCTGACCTTCTGCCTCTGCATGTTCCCCTGACTCACTGATGGAAAACATCCACCCTTCTGGGCCTCTTCCTTATTTCATCACTTTAATAAATTAAGAACAGATTGAAAAGCAGAAAACATTGTCTCCCGGGCCCCAGCACCCACATTCCAACTCAATTACATGATTTGTTTTTGGGTCTGGCCAGACGCAGAAGCAACTGAGATGCAGCAGAAAGAGTGAGACAAAGAGGTGAGATCAAGAGACCAGAGAAAGTAATTCCTATCCCAGCTCAGTCACTGACCAGTGGCCTCAGGCAAATCCATTCACCTCCCTGAGCCTCCCCATCTCTCCTTATCTGGAAAGTGAGTGGTAACAATGACACATGCTTCACAGGGTGATGGGAGCATGTCAAATGAAGTAGAGGATATAAAACTGCTATGTAAATTGTCAAGTCCTAGACCACGTGAGAAATAGATTATTTCTATTCTACCAATTCTCTTGGTCAGAGATGACATGGCACCAGGCCCTCCCTCCCTTCTAATAGCTTAGTCTTGGAACTTTGAACAAAACTCTTGTATTCCTTGAGGTCAGATCTTCATTCTCTCACTCCTTGTAGCAACTAACACTGGAAAGAGGGACTCTGTGGATCTTCAGTTATATATGCAACAGTTGTCGTTGTTGTTGGTGGTGGTGTTGCTGCTGCTGCTGCTGCTGCTGCTGTTTTCAGTTGACAGCCAGAGTGCTCTATTGGAAAACAAAAAAAAAGAGTATAGGTCTGGATGCGAGCTGTGAGACATAGTTTTGTTCCTGGCTGCACCACTTGATTTCTTGCCAATTGCATCATTTCTGTGGCTTGCAGTTTCAGTTTCTCCATGTATAAAATGAGGGCAGAGGGGCAATGAGTTAATCATCCTTATCTTGATAACCTCATAGGGTGGCAATTAAGATCGAATTAGACCTTTTATAAGCTGTAAAGTTCTATACAAATATAAACTGTTGTTAAAAGAATATTAATAATTCAATTATTGTAATAGTTACTAAATAGTGATGATGAGGAAAAATATCTTAGCTAGATGATAATGTCCCCTCTTCTTCAGGGAGGAGAATTGCACAACCTCTTTTGGTCAGCCCTTCTGAGTTCCCTACAATTTACAACATTGGAAGTCCTTCCTTTCTCTAACCCAATTATCTCATGCTTTAGGTTAAGCCAGTCTCATTTTCTGCTCTTAGTTGGAAAGGAGAATAAGGTCACCATATTCTTTAAGACAACTTTCACCCAATTTAAGGCCTTTCATAAGTCACACTTCTTCCTTCTGACATGCTATCTGAAGACAGCATGTTGGAGGAAAGAGATGAATTCTGTTTTGGAAAGGTGAGTTAGAGGTGCATGTAGAACTTTCAACAGGGATACACAATAGACTAGCTGGAAATAAAGTCAGGAGTTCAAGGGAGTGCTCTGTGCTGAAAATAGTGGTTCAGGCGGCCTCAGAATAAAAGTGGCACCCGAATAGCTTCAGTCTCATTAAACTACTCTCTATTTCCTGGCCAAGTCATTCACTTTCATGCCTTCCTGCCTTTGCTCCTGCTGTTTTTTCTGCCTAGAATGTCCTTTCTCCCTTATCAACTCTGAAATCCTATGCATCACCTCCAGAGAGGGTCTAACATTGCTAAAGGTTTCACTCACCCCATAGCAAAGTATTTCAAGGTATCTTCTATGTTTCTGTGTTTGCTTTACTAGCTCTTTCCTACTTAGTCCTCACAACACCACTATCAGATAAGTATCATTTTTCTCACTTTACGGATGAGAAAATAACTCATCCATCTAAAGCTACACAGCTAGTTAGAGGTAGAACTAGGATTCAAACCCAGATCTTCAGATAACAGTTAGTCCAAAGATTTCAGTGCAACAAGATTCTGCCAACTACTCCAACAGCAAGAGATGTACGTTGGGAAAGGACTAGCTTCCAATTCTGAAGTCAAATTCAGATATCAGCCTTACCTGGGCTGGGTGCAGTGGCTCATGCCTTTAATTCCAGCACTTTGGGAGGCTGAGGCAGGTGGATCACTTGAGGTCAGGAGTTCAAGATCAGCCTGGCCAACGTGGTGAAACCTCTCTCTACTAAAAACACAAAAATTAGCCAGGCATGGCAGCACATGCCTGTAATCCCAGTTCCTCGGAAGGCTGAGGCAGGAGAATCGTTGAACCCGGGAGGCGGAAGTTGCAGTGAGCTGAGATTGTGCCACAGCACTCCAGCCTGGGCGACAGAGCGAGACTCCATTTCAAAAAAAAAAAAAAAAAAGTAGATATCAGCCTTGTCTGAATTTTGGACAGAGTCACTCTGGTTTGGGATTGAGTTGACCAGGTAAATCAGCTGGTGAGCAGCCAGGCTCTCCTTTGAGGTTTGGAGCTCTCCGTGGTACTGACACAACTTCCATCTGCCAGCCCTGAAAGCTTGATGCATTCGCTCCATAGCAACTGTGTGGGTTTGTCAGGGACAGGACCGTGGCCATTTCCCAAACATATCCCCCATCTCCAAACTTTAATCTTGTTTATTCCTATGCCAGATACTGCTCCTTGTTGTACCTGCTGAATTTCTCATCATACTTCAAGACTTGGCTCCCATTGGCTTCCCAATATGAAGAAATCTTCTTTGGCTTTCTTAGAAAGAGTTCTTAGCTACCTACCATGTGTCAGGCACAGTGGTGATGACTTTCATAGGCAATACCACTTATTACATACCAACATACTATATAATTTATTATTTGTGATATTCATTATTTATTGTCTCTGGGGAGCCCTTCTGGAAGTGCCTGCATTAGGAAGAATCCTGAACAATATGATAGAAATTTTGGACTCTGTTCTAAAAATTATAAGTAGCAGGATAATCAGGGACAAATTCCAGGACTTAGGACCTTGGCCTCTTTATTGCTGTCCTCCACTCTATCAAACCTTACTGTAACCAGCCCTGGGAATCCCACACCATCAAGACTTAGGTATAGGAGCATACTTTATTTAAAAGATCCTCATTTCCTGCCTCTTTGTGAAATTCCGCTTGTAGGCAAGGTGGTAACAAGGGTAGGGTTTGCCTTCTCATGTAAAACAACCCCACTCCCCCCAAAAAAACAGACAAAATATATAAAACAATGGTTTTTAAAACAGTGGATATGAAGCAACAATGGTTTGTATTGTTTCTCAAAGAACAATAGTCATCTTTGAGAAACAAGCAAGGTGGGCCCTACCATTGCCCCCAACTTACTGCTTGAGAATTTCCATGCCTCAGCACAGGGAGGGAGGATCTGGTGGACTCCCTGAATAGTAGAGTCAGAGCTGAGAGTCCCAGGAGAGCAAAACTACTAGAGTTCACAGGAAAGGGTACTGGAGAGAAAGACAGCACTGCACAAAGAGAGAATTCTAGAAATCTGTGACAGTTTCCCAGTGAACAATGAGTGCATATGTGTGAAGAAACTACATGAGGCCAGGGAAAGACCCGTCAGAGTCCAGTACTCACACAGGATCAGAAACAGTATCTGTTCCTACCAGCCAACTTGAAAAAAAAATCATAATTCGCAGGGCATTGGGTAGAGCACTCAGAAGAATCTTCTCTTAGTTATGGGGAATAATTTGCTCTAGACCACAAGCTGCTCTGATCCTGCCTAACAGATCTTAAAATAAAGACCCAAAAGGATCAAAATGTTTCCAAGTAACTTAACTGCATCCCAGAACAAATCTCAAGAATACTTAAAGAAATATAAAAATATCCAGCTCCAAACAAGGTAAAATTCACAATGTCTGGAATTCAGTCAAAAACTACAAAGCATGTAAAAATGCAGAAAAATAGGACCCACATTGAGAAGACGCATATTCATTAGGAACTGACACAGATATTAGAATTAGGAAATATAGACAATAAATAGTTATGACTGTATTCTCTCTGTTGAAAAAATTAAGTAGAGTCATGGAAGACATAAATAAGGATCAAAATTAAACTTCCAGAAGTGAAAACTGCAATGTCTGAGAGAAAAATTCAATGGAGTAAATTAAAGACAGACTAGACCTTGCAAAAAAATAGTAAAGTTGAAAAAAATCGAAACTATTCAAAATGAGACACAGGAAAAAAAGAAATTTTAAAATGAAAAGAACATCAGTGATCTACAGGACAACCTCAAGAAACCTAATATATGTATAATGGCAGTCCCTGAAGGAGTAGCGATGCAGAAAAATTATTTGAAGAAATAATGGCCGCAAATTTTTCCAACTTTGATGAGAACTATAAACTCATAGATGCAAGAAGCTCAATGAACCCCAAATACAAGAAAAATTAAGAAAATTACCCCAAGGCACATCACAATCCAATTTCTCAAAATCTGTAATAAAAGAAAAATCTTAAAAGCAGTCATAGAGAAAAGAAATGTTATAAAAAGAGAAACAAAGATAAGGTGAAAAAGGAGTTCTAAAGAGAAATAATGAAGCCAGGAGACAATGGAGCAGCATCTTTAAAGTATAAAAAGAAATCTGCTCAACCTAGAATCTTATACCCAATGAAAATATCTTTCAAAGGTGAAGACAAAATAACTCTTTTTCTGACATATAAAAGCCAAAATAATTCACCACCAGCAGAATAGCACTATAAAAAAATTGAAGGAAGTCCTTCAGTCAGAAGGAAAATGAAACCAAATGGAAATATAAATCCTCACAATGGAATGAAGAATACCAGATTTATAAGATTTTAAAAATATGATTTAAATCTCTTTAAAGGATAGTTGATTGTTTAAATGAAAATAATAACAATGTTTTATGAAGTTTACAAGTAAAATGTATGACTAAATTAGCATAAAGGCAAGGAGGAAAAAAGGGAGGTACACTATTTTAAGGTTTTATACTACATGTGAAGTGCTGCAACAACGCTTGAAAGCAGACTGCAATGTTAAAGATGTATACTATAAACCCTAAGGTAACCATTAAAATTACACACCAAGGAGCTGATAAGACAACAAAAGAAATAAAATAAGAGTCACTTAAAAAACTATCCAAAAGCTACTGCCCAAAAAATGATAGACTGAAACCTAACCACATCAATAATTACATTAAATGTAAATGGCTTCCGTCTCCCTTAGCCTGTTGAAATGAACTTCTGAAAAGTACTCATCCCTCATTATCTGGATTCAGCCCTCAAAGCCATCCTCTGAGATAGACAGATCACAGGTTATTGTCTCCTACCACAGATTAGGAAACTAGGACCACCTGAGGAAAAGTGACTTGCTCAGGTCAACAGTAAATTAGCAAATGAATCCTCAGTCTTCCCAATCCTAAGAAGAAGCTGCTTCAACCAAGCCCTTAAATAGACTCTTCACTTCAGAAACTCATTTATTCCCACCTACTTCTACTCTTCCTCTCTCTCTCTCTCTCTCTCTCTCTCTCTATCTCTATCTCCCACCACCCCCTACCCCCCTGCACCACCACCCCGCCCCCCGCCCCCCACCCCCTGCCCTTCTCAAAAGAAGAAATACAATTTGGCATGAATTAATGATAAGCCTGCTTGGCCAATTACCAGAGCTAAGTGCTGTCCTGCTGGGAGTGGCTCCCACAAAGCACTAAGTGATGTTGGACTAGCCAAGGGGCCCCGCCCAGCCAGGCCTAAGGCCCTCCTGGGTCCAGGCTTAGAGGAAGCAGCTTTCCAATTAGCTCTTGCCAGACAGACTGGCTTCTCTGCACAGCAAATTGGGTTACAGAGCTCTCCTCCAGCTGTTCTCCTTGTCTGGTCCCCTCCGCCCCAGCAAAGAGGATGCTAATCAACTGTAGGCCAAGCCTGCAGATTTCAAGCACCCATGGAGAAAGGTATGTGCAAACCCAGACCCTGTCCCAATAAGGTGGCATTCCATAAGCCAGTAGATATGCCCTATACCAGTCAGACAATGGCCTCAGAGCCCTGAAATCCAGGCTTTTGAGCTAGTCACAGAAAGCAGTGCCTAAAGGAAAGAAGCTGAAGTCCTACACTTTCTGCCTGCCCATAGCTATCTCCCGCTCCCACCTCCCACCCCCACAATAAGGCAGTGTTAGGGCTGCCCCCTTGCCATCAGGCCGGGTTTTCTTTTTCTAATTTCCTTCTCCTCTAGCAATTCAAAGATAGCCCAGCTTGCTCTTTAAACCTGGAGAGAAGTGCTGAGGAGAGGGGAGCCAGGGACCTCAACATGAAGCGTCCTGGACCCTGCATCCCCTCTTTCTGGGCCAGCCTGAGTTCTAGCCCAGAGCTGGCATCCACTGTCCCCATGTCTCCAATATAAGGGCCTGGCCTGCTCTGCCACTCCCCCTAGTGGGCATTGCCACCTGACAGCACTGAACTTTCCCCCACAGAGAGTAAAAACACAGCACTTCACAGTTTACAAAATAATTTCAGAGACATTGTTTAACTTGATCCTCACAACTACTCTACTAGGTATGATGAGCAAGGGTTGTTATTCCCATTTAAGAGGTCAGGAAACAAATTTAGACAGGTGAAGAGAGAACTCAGAACCAGTTTGAAGCAGAGCTGGTCCTGAAGCTCAGGCTTCTCTCCAACCCACTGCTGCACTGGGGAGCATTCTCAGGTCCCCTTCATGGACAGTGTACCACTATTTGACTCAGAGCAATAGGGAAGGGTCTTAGCACAATTTACCCACATATCCATCCAACCATTCACCCATGCAGCACATATTTGTCAGCAGCTACCGTGATCAAGGTACTAGGGACACCAAAGTGAATTAAACCAAGTGTCTGCCTTCAGGGAGCCCACAGACTTGTTGGGAAAATAAACAGATAATGACAACACAGTGTGAACAGTATAATGATGGAGGTGCCCCCAGAGACTGGGAGGTGCTCAGGGCAGGCTCCTTGCCCAGAAGAGAGGTGACACCTGAACCAAGAAGAAGAACAAGTAGGAATTCACTAAGCAAAGATGGAAGGGTGGGCAGATGGAGAACATCCCAGGCAGAAGGAACTATAAAGAAAAGTGAAATCACAAGATGCCTTCAGGAAACTTTTCAGTAGTGCTGTAGCCTGGAGCATGAGGGGGCATAGAGGCATGGCATGGGGCTGAGATGTGGCAGGGCCAGACCATAAGCATTCATGCATGCCCAGCTGTTCAGGTCAAGTCTTTGCCAGGATGCAGGCTCTGCAAGGTGCTGGCTGCAATCCCACTAGCCAGGTTTATGGCCAAATGTTCTCATATCAGCCAGGGGGCTGAGCAGAGACAGGGCCTTTGGGGAGTGAGCAGCTGGTGATGCTGGAAAGTGTCTGCCAAGAGAATTCAGCTGAGAACACTTCCCATTCCCAAGAGGTCAAAGAGCCCTGTTGCTCCTCCCTAGTGGAGGCCCTGAGATCACACTGTCATTCATAATTCACTCAGCAAACACTCATTGGGCCTCTGCTTGTGCCAGGCTCTGAGCTAAGCTCTGGGGACACAAAAATAAAAAGGCATGGTCTCTGCCCTTGAGGAATGCACGGTTCTGGAGTGGAAGAACAGACTTGGAAGTTATTGCAGTACAGTGAGAGATGGGCAAAGAAGGGGAGCAGAAAATCCTTTATGGGAGCCAAAAAGGAGGGGGTGTTGAGCTAGGTTTTAGAGGATGGGTTAGAGTCTGTCATGTAGGAAAGGGCAGTCTAGAAAGTAGGAAGAGTGTATGAAGCATAGGCCATAAAGGGGCATTGAGGCGCAGGAGAAGTGGCTGTGTGTTGGGGTAGATTGTGGGAGATCAGACCAAAAGAAACTGGTTTTTACAGGCTGAGCAGGGATGTTCTCCTAAGGTCAGGTTTGGGTTTTATAAAGATGACTCTGGCAAAAAGAGTGACAAGCTGGGGGCTGAAGCAGAAGGATTAGGTCTGAGAAGCTAAGACAGAGTTGACAGGGCCAGGGAACTAACTGACTGACTATGTGAGGAGAGACATTCATTTGTATCTTGCTTTTTAAAATTGCCATGCTTAGCTAAGTGAACCTCTTCTGCAATGCAAATGTGAGGATTCAATAAGCTAAGGTAAGTGAAAGCCCACTGTACAAACCCCCACCCCTACACCCAGTGGGTATGGAGTCAACATTCAATAAGGCTCTGCTATAGCTGACTCTCTACATGATGCAGTGAATGAGTAATGAATGAACAAATGAATGAGAAAATTGATGGCCTATGGGTCCCCCAGCACGCAGCATCAGAACCACACAAGTCTCTATGCCCCACCAGAAGTTCTCAGAAAAGAAGGCCGGCTTAGTGGTGTGTGTTTCTCAGAGACACCCTCGGGGAAAGTCAATCTCAGCAGCTGCCTAGGGGTTTGAGGTCCAGCTGACTCTCCTTGGAGGATCTGGCCTTCATTCTTTTGGCAGATGTAAGGCAGTGGAGGAGTGATATGTCTGTGCCTGACTCTGGGAAGCCCTCATATCTGGGATACAGGTTTGGGCCTGGCTATACCAGCCTCACTGTGCAAATATCAATAAGACAGAAGACAACATGTGAGAAACAGAATAAAGCTCAGGGTAGTAATTGACATCATCTAGTCACCTACTACGCAGAGGCCTCCTGCTAGGTACATTATTTCTATTATCTCATTAAACATAGCAATCCTGGAAAAAGGAGGATTTATCCATATTTACTGATTAGGAAACTGAAGCATAGAGAGATGTAGCTTTTCCTAGGTCATACAACAATATTCTGGACCAAGTCCATCAATTTGTCTATTCTTGAAGCAACACATTACAGAAAGTTGGAAACAAAGTAAAAGAACTTACAATTTCATCATCCCAACACAGCAACTATTATTTTGCTTATCTCCTGCATGTTTGGTACATACTTGAGATTTTATTATTCATACAATTTGGTTTTTACTTTTCTCCTTATTTAACATTATATCATAAGCATTCTTTCAGATTACTATGTTGCCTTCAGAACCATTATTTTTCATGGCTACAGACTGTCAAATTGAGTGTAAACACCGGATTTTATTCAACCATTTCCAATGGTTAGGTACTTAAATTGCTTCCAATCATTTGATATTATAAATAATCAATCTTTTCTTTTATTTAGAATTGTCTTATTTTGGAAAGATTATTTCCTTAGAGCAGACGCCCAGAAACAGAAATACTAACACAAAAGGTATGAACATTTTTAAGTCTTTTGATACTTGCTACCAAATACCTTTCTTGTGGGGCCTTTCTCCTTCTCCCCCGTGTCTGGGTGCCTGATTTACCTCTCCCTCTCTCTGGTCCCCCTGGCAGAGGCACAACAACCCCCGGACCCTGTCTCCTCATCTATGAGATGGAGTGAATGACCCTCCTCTGCCAACCTCGTAGGCTGGAGAAAAAGTGATTCAAGACCCTATGACAGGCAATACCACAGAGTGGCTAAACAGCATAATGTTGGTGCCAGACTACCTAGGTTTGAAGCCCTGATCTCCTACTCCAGAAGCTGTGTAACCTTGGGCAGGTTACTTAACTTCTCTGTACCTCAATGTCCTTATCTGAAAAACAAGAGTGATGAAAGTAATAGCAACTTTTTAGGGCTGTGGATGAGGCTTTAAAGAACTATTTTATGCAGAAATCATGTAAGGAGAGCTGTGGTTATTATAAAGGTGATGTCTGATGTGGAAGGCAGCACTAGCAGAAAAAGCTTCAGCATTCCTTCCCACAGGGGCTGCCCCGAGGGAAGGGGGCAAGAGCCAGGTGCCTAACAGGCTTTTTGTAGAAACAGCTGATCAGCTCTAATGGCAATGACCACTACTCCCTCCCTGCAGCCTCCCCAGTGCGGGGTCTCAGTCTCTCTTGCCCGCCCCACCCACCACCACCACCTCCGCCCTCTGGCTGCTGTGGCCAGATCTTATCCCTTTTTCATCAGGCTGCCTAACTGACCGGAAAATGTAAACGCATCCCTAAACGCATGCAACTGCTCCCCACCCCCCAGCACTCTCCCCCTTTCCGGGAAGCCAGGCCCCAGCACCAGCCTGACAAGCAGCACTTAATTCTTTATTGAAAACCATTAACTGGAGTTCAGTTCCCTGAGCCCCAGTTTCAAATTACTCACAGGAAACGCCAGACCGGGAGAGTGGCTTTCAAGGGCAGAGCCATCTCCTCTAACAGACTGGCTCCAGAACCCTGGCTATGAGGAATTTTTTTATTTTGAGAGGCAATAACAACAACAAGGACACAGAAACAGCAGCAATAGCTTCAACCCCTACCACGCATGAGAGCTGACAAAGCCCCCTCCTCTTCCTCTCTTATTAACAATAGCCCAGTGCAGCAGGTCTGGCAGGAAGTAGTGCCACTCCCTGATAGATGAGAAAACTGATGGCCTCGGGGTCACACAGGCAGGCAGAAATTGAACTGGGCTCCAGATCCCCCTGCCAGTGAGCCCACAACCCCGGCCCTTCACAGACTTCACAGACCACCTACAGTGGGGCCTAACCTGTGGGAGGCACAGCAGGGGAGACAGGTGAAAAAGATGCGACACCTGCCTTGAGAAGCTACCTGATTGGGAGAGGGACGATGAAAAAGAGTCCTAGACTAGAGCCTCAGAAACCCTAGTTCTATGCTGGGTCTGCCACTAACTGCCTGGCACACTGTGGGTGTTAATTATCATTAATGGCACAGGCAGGAAGGAATAAGGCCAGGGGAAAATGGACAAGAGGAGTGAGGGAACGGAAAAACAAATGTGTCCTTGGTCACCTCTATCAATATTTCTAGCCAACCTAAAAGAAACTGTATTCAGTCATTCATTTTGAATTGCCTGAGGTCTTGTATGTGCCAAGCACTGAGAAAGTACTTTACAAATATTTCTTATTGAATTCTCCAAATAGCCTTTTGGAATAGGTACCATTATTATAACTATCACCATTGACCAATAAGGAAAGGGAGGCTCAGAGAGTTTAGGTAACTCATTCATGATTACACAGCAGTGTCAAGATTTGAACTCAGGTCAGCCTGACACCAAGATTCCCACTGCTCATTGTGTTACTATTAATAGTATCATTATGGTTCTATAAACAACTACACAGTGACCCAACAAGAGCAGAGAGAATAACAGGCCTGTGTGGGATGTCAAGGAAGTTTCCTCAGAAGCTGTAGAATCTGAGTTGAAGGATGGGTGAGACTCAGCCAAATGAAAAAGGCAGGGGAGAATGTTCCACGCAGGGACAGTAGCATAGGCCAGGGCCAGGAAGTATCAAAAGACACAGCATGTTAAGGCAAGTCATGAATTGCTGAAACATCTGAATTAAGCACAGAGAGTACAAAGGGACACTGGCCTCCAGGAGTGTACAGCCCCAGAGAGATGGAAATATGTCAGATGACTTGATTTTTGAGGTGAACTGGGTAAGAATTTTTATCCAAGAACAAACAGTGTTCTGCTTGTGTATCTCACTCACCTCTTCCATACAGCAGTCCTGAGAAGTAGCTGAACAAGGATGCCCTTGGCTGGGGCAGGCAAAGGGCTCTGGCCTCGGAGTCTAGGGGCCTGTTTCCCAGAGGTTGTGCTACTTACCCCCTCTGAATCTGGGTTTCCCTTCTCTACAAAGGGGTCACTGAGAGCCACTTCCTAGCACAGTAACTTCCAAGTTACTGTACTTTCCAGTAGCCTGGAAAGAATACATTGGGGTTTATTTTCATTTACTTCCTTTTAAAAATGTGGTCACTGAGGCTCAGAGACTTGTCTGCGGACACCTTCAGAAAATGCTTGATCTGAAATTTGATCTCAAATCTGATGGATTTCTCTGCCATGCTGTCACTTCCACCTACTGAGGCTAGTTTAGCCCTCTGAAGTCCAATACAATAAGCCTGCTTCTTCGTTCACAATACTCCCTTGGATGGATGAAGACAACAGCTGTGTCCCCAAATCTCCTCTTTCCAGCCAAACACTCCCAGATTTTCACCTAGTAGGATTTCCCAACCCTCAACAGGGCTTAGTTGCCCTTGAGGAAGAGACAGGAAAGAAGAACAATAGGAGTTGCCTAGTGCCCTGGCCAGGACTGAAGCATCCCCATCCTCAGAACCAGCAGCCAGGCACAGAGAGTATCAGCTGCAGCTAACTCCCCATGGAAAACAGCAGTCACAGCCTGTTTGCCTTCTCCAGTCCACAAACTGCCATGGCCAAGCTGGACACCAGCTTGGAAACCCAAGGGACCTGTCTCCATCCCAAACCTTGTCTCATCCCTGCCCCAGATGGCCCTTATTTGAGCTGGATCCATTTTCTTGGCCACCTTACTGAATGCGGTGCACACTCATTCAAGAAAATGCTGACCTCTGCTCCAAGCCGCCTTGTCGGCAGTTTCCCAGACATAGCTCGACTGTTTATTTATTTATTTTTGTGTTAGCAAAAAGGAGAAAATCACATTGGCCTAAAATGAATACTAATGAAATGCTTTCGTTAGCGTCCTTTGTGATAAGAATGAAAAATCGGATTTCCGCAGAATCACAAGCTATACATTTCTTTTCCCCAACTTTTTTTTTTTTTTTTTTTTTTTGCCCTTTCCTCTAACAGAAAGATTAGGGACAGCCTGGAAGGAGAGTAAAGTCATTTCATTAAAAATATCTGCATTTTTAAGGGCGACTTTGTTGCAGAGGGACGTGGCTGTGCAATTTCTCCAAACCCACTTTTCTCAGCCTGTAAAGCAAATGTACCTATTTGTCCTCTGCTGCAACAATGCCAGCTGCATTCAATCAACTGAGAAGCTGCAAGCCATAAACCTTCTTCCCCAGCTAAGGGGGGAAGGGGGGTGGGGAGAGGGAGCAAGCAAGAAAGGAGGCATGCCATAAAAATTCATCAGAATAATGTAGGGATGAGACAAGCTCCGATCGCGGGCAAGCAATCAACCAATCACTCATTCCGTGGCATTTACAGCACGTCTCATTCCCCTGTTCCTTAAGGACAATTGATTTTTCCTGATTCCATTAGCATAACAGCGTGGAAAATGTCTGCAGTGCAATATTTCTGGAAAGTTCCAACAAGTGGGCTGGGCACTGGAGTGTGACCATCTCCATAAAGCTTCCTTAGGCTCTGCGGCAGACGCTGTCATAGCCGCCACAAAAGGCCCAGAGAGAATGACGCAGTCTCCAAAATTTGGGGGCCAAGGGCACCTCAGGGGTGTCAAAGAAGGTAATTGGCACCGACATGAAACCTCTTATCTTCTTGTCCCTGAACACAGAAGCACTCTCTTCTGCAAGATGTGATATCATGGGGTGGTAAGAAGCAAGTAAAACCCACCTCGCCTAGGAGTGACTATGTCACACATACTGAGTCCATTTGTAACCTTCTAAAGCTCCTGCACTTAGAAGCTGAGGAAAGAATGCTTATTGTGATTACTCCTTTGTGTGTGAACAAGAAGGCTGCAGGGGTAGGTGCCCAGGGGCTTTACTCTGCTTTTCTGTCAGCTAGGTCTCCACCACATTCTCCACTGAGACCACATATGCATAAGAAGGGAATGTGAGGCATTTGGAACCATGCAGACCCGGGTTCAAATCCTGCCTCTTCCTTTTATTTGTGTGTTTGGCCATGGGCCACAGGTAATTAACCTCTCTAATCCTCAGTTTCTTGTTATAAAATATGAAGACCTCATTACTTCACAGGTTGTTGGGAGAATTAAATGAGACTATGTAAAAAGCACTTAGCATAGTGCTGATGCGTAACAACAGCTCAACAAATCAGATTCTCCTCCTTCCCTGTTTCTCTGCATTTCATTTTCCTCCTGCCCACCAGCAATATAATTCCCTCAGTATCAGCTTCTGCTGGTCAAGAAAGTGAAACTTTCCAATGCCAAAAGAAAACATATAAAACACAGAATATTTCCATCTGCTTTTGCAAGCAAGATTAAAACCTGGCTATGCCTTTTTAAATGTGCTTTGGGAGACTTCTTCTTATTCAGTCTCCTGAGTCATTCCCTATCTCTTCTCTCACCCCTCCTCTATTCTCACATTACACCAGAAATCTCTCTAAAACACACGTGACCTTGTCACACCCCCGCTTAAAACCCCTCAGTAGCTCCTCACTGCCATCTTCTGTCTTCAAGATTCACCTCAGGCTGTGTCTCCTCCAGGAAGCCTTCTTTGACCCTCACTCTCCTTTAGGATCCCACAACCCCTGTGCACATTCTCACACTCTGTGTCCATGCTTTGTCCATCCTAGACTGTGGGCTCCTTACGGGCAGTTTTCTAGTTCCATGTCCCCAGAACCTGTCATCTCACCTTACGTTTAGTAGATGTTCAGTTGATGTTTGTTGAGAAAACCAACTTACAAAGGCAGTGCTGATCTCATCACCAAGGCTCTAGGTTTATTTAGCTCAGTGTTTACGGAAGGCAGTGTGGGTGCTGGCCGTGGTCCTGAATCTGTAGGGGCTGAGGAGAGAAAATGTAATCAAGAAAACTTGGGTGTGGTGAATACAGTCCTTATTCATTCAAATAACCTCCAGACAGATGGCATTTTGTTTGGAAAGTGGAAGGAGGGCAGGGATTCCGGAAACTTCAGTTTCAGTCCTGGCTCTGCTGTGAACTCTCTACTCAAGACAAAAATCTTTCTGGATTTCCGTTTTTTCATACGTCAAGTGGAAATAAAACCTGACCCTCCCATGTCACAAGATTGTTCTAAAGAATACAAAAGATGATGTCTGTGAATCTCTTTGTAATCTTTTTTAAAGTGCTTGCCATGGAAGACCTCAAAGATTCCTCCCAGCCCTTTCAGTGCTCACTGGTTGAGAGTTATCTACACTGACCACCTCCAATTCTTCACCTCCAGCTTGCTCCTTGGTTCACTCCCATGTGGCTTCTGGACTCATCATCCTGACAAAACAACTCTCAATAATGACCTCATGCTGCTAAACCTATTCTTCAATCCTCATTATACTTGCTCTCCTAGGACTATGTTTTTAGCACTCCAGCACTTACCCCAGGATATAATTATACATTCATTTATGTGCCTGTTTTATTAATACTTTCTCTTTAACTAGACTCCATGAGGACCCAGAGTTCCATGAGTGAACTCCATGAGGCTACAAACTGTGTCTGGTTTTGCTTGTCATTGCACTCCCAGGTCCTAGTAAAATGATCACAAGAAGCAGCCTCCCCCATGACTTGGAAGGTAGGCAATGTGCCCAGAGCAGACCTGGCCATGTCCAACACTGGCAGATACCAAAAGAAATCCTGGAACCTCTATGGAAGTCCCAGATTCAACCTTCCTGTGCTCCACTGCCAAGGCTTCTGCCTGATGTGACTTGGAGCTCTGATGAGGCCTCTGCCTCTTGAGAAACACAGAGAGTACAAGGAGGACTGCATGGTGCCCAGCAGCATAAGCACAAGAGGTGAGTATGTGGGGTAAGATCTGGAGCACCACTAAGTCCAGCTGCCCTGCTGTGTAGAGAAAGAAAACTAAGGCCAGAGAAGAAATGTAATCTAAGATCTTACAATGAGTTAATGTCATTCACAGCCCAGAAAGAGCTAGAGGCAGGAAATGTGATCTCTCAGATCTCCTATGATCCTTGCTCTGGGATACTACGAGCCCTGGGCTGCCCTCTACTATAACACATGTCTGCCTGGGTTGCCATTGTCTGTTCACATGTTTACCTTCTCCTGGAGGACAAGGAGAGTGTCTGCTGAATCTTTGTATTCCCAGGGATAGCCCAATGCATGACACATAGTAGGACTAAACCAATGTTTCTTGACTAGACACTGGATAGCAAAGAGATTAGGAGAGTGGATGCCAAATGTTAAGAAGGCTGACTGGGAGCCAGCTCAGAATCCCTCTTAGCCTGAGACCCACCCACCCCCAAAGCCCAGAAATAGGAAATAGTCAGTCTCAAGCCTGAACATCCCCAAGATCCAGTAGTGGGCTCCATGGTGAAGTCCCTAAAATAGATCTGCTACTGAATTCCTGCTGAATTTCCAGGCTGTTCGTCCAAGAAAGCCAGTGCCATCCTGCAACCCCCTGGGAAGAAGAGAGCTTTAGAGTTTATGATTTGCCCTTACAGGTAACACAAAGCACAGAACATTATTTGCATTTGGAAGCCAGGGAAACTGAGGTTCTTTCATCCATTCCATAAGGATGTAGAAGCAAGTTATATTATTCAGGATTTTCCAGAGAAACAGAACCAATTAGATAGATAGATAGATAGATAGATAGATAGATAGATAGATAGATAGATAGATAGATGATAGATAGATAGATAGATAGATAGATAGATAGATGATAGATAGATAGATAGATAGATAATAGATAGATAACAGGGGATTTATTATGAGAATTAACTCATACGATTATAGAGGCCAGGAAGCCCCACAATATGCTGTCTGCAAGGTAGAGAACCAGGAATGTCAGTGGTATGATTCAGTCAGAGTCTGAAGGTCTCAGAACGAGGAGCTCTGAAGTCCAAACGCAGAAAAAAAAAGGATGTCCCAGTTCAAGTAGAGAGCGTGAATTTGCCCTTCCTCCACCTTTTTTTTTTCCATTCAGGCCCTCAGCGGATTGGACGATGCCTGCCCACACTGATAAGGGAGATATTTTTTACTCGTCTACTGATTCAAATGTTTACGTCTTCTGGAAACACCCTCACAAACACAACAAGAAGTAATGTGTTACCAGTCATCTGGGTATCCCTCAGCCAGCCAAGTTGACACATAAAATGAACCATCACATAGGGGCTTTGCAGTCAAACCCACAACTGTGAATTCCAGCTCCTCCACTTACAGCCATACATTCTGAGTCTACGATGTGGATTTGAGTGGTTATAGAAGATATTGACTCTACCTTCAAGGAGCTTACAATCTAGTGATGGAAAAAATATGTTTACAAGAATTCTAGTGCCAGGCAGAATGTGATTCTAGTGGGAGGCTCACAGCCTACTGGGAGAAAAACTTAATGGAAAAGTTTCTCATTTGAGTCTTTAAAAATGCATGGGATTTTAATGGCAAAGAAAGGAAAACATTCCTGGTGAAGACAGAAGAGAGCATGGGGCATGTTCCTGGAATGGGAAGTAAGTCTATTTGGCTGGAAGGCTTAGGGATGTGTGGAATATAAATGAGATCTGAGGCCATGAAAAAGGAGTTGGGAGAAAGAGAGATTTGAATGCCACTCAAGCGCTCAGAAAGGTTAAATAACTTGTCCAAGGACACAAAGAATCAGTGGAGGATCTAGGACTGGGCTTCAGGACTCTTTCCTTTCACCCCTCTGCCCTCATCTTCAACATTAATAAGGCATAGTGGCTGGCAGGGGCCGGGGGCTCTCCCATTATAAAAGCACGTGAAAAAGAAACAGTCAGAATTAGTGTGGCTGTAGGGGAGGAGCTCAGAGCCGTTTGACAAATTAAAAAGGGAATTTCAGGATGAAAGTAAGTAAGTATGTTCTGTCCCACATCTCTACAAGTGGCATATTCTATTGCCCATCAAAGCCATGCTTAGAATGAGTATTAATCTTTGCTATGGGTACATCATGTTAATATAGTTATCATAAATTAAACATCCCCACACACATTTTTTCTTCAGAAATAATTACCTTTGCTAAGACTTTTCATGGAAAATGCAAAGGTAAATTTCAGGCCCACTCACAACTTCTGAATTTTTGCAAATTTTGAATGTTAGTAGAGAGAAACTGAGATTGGAACCATGTTGATTGATTGAAATATTCAGCATCTGCAGAATAGTCTATCAGAATGTTTCAGAATCTCCCAGGCTCTAACATATTTGAGCAGGGACTCAGCCAGACCCAGGTCCAAGGACCCACTCAGATTCTACCTGTCTGTATGACCCTGAGACCCTCACACCACCTCTCTGGACCCACCTCATATCCTAAATATAAAATAAATCAGATAATGGATTTGGAGTCCATCAGGGATCTCATAATCTAGAGGGGGAGACAGCAAAGGAATAAAGCAGGTGAAATAGGATGCCCCAGCTCTGCAGGGAGGATTCCAGGCCAGAGGTAGATAGCTATTTGGGTGTTGATGGGAGGCATGAGGCCATCTTTTCCTCCTCACACCCTGAGAGGTACTAAACCTAGGCTTTTATGTAATTATGTCTTACTATTGTAAGGCAGGTTATTATGTCCCCATTTTACACAAGAGGTGAATGATGCTCAGAGAGGTTAGTTACTCACCAAAGGCAAAAGAAGGGGCAGATGCAGATTCAAAGCAACGCCTCTCTAAGGGTAAAGCATGAATGCCCCGTCTCTACACTATGCCACCTTCTGCGTGAAGTCTGCTGGGTGTCACTGGAAATCTCATCTGCACATCCACCTTGGAATTCTGGGATATCAGCAGTCTTTCTACAGTGGGGCTCCAAGAACCTTGGGAGTAATGGCAAAGAGAACTTTATGACTGAGGCTCATGTAAGAGTCACAAATTAGAAGGGGAAATTCAGACTGTATCCACCCAGGATGGAGGACTAAGGCAAAGGCGCCATATGAGGTAAAAGAGCATGAAATGCAAGGGTCTCCCTAGGGAAACTAAAGAAGCCCCAAGGTTGGGAGGGGAGCTCCAGCTCAGGAGTTCAAAAGCAAAGTGGTGAGGAGGGGTTGTGCTGGTCCCAGGCCAAGGCTCTCAGGCACTTCCTGCTTCCCACCAGGATGGGTGAGACTCAAAGTGTGGCTGAGGACAGGGAGGGCCTAAATGTACCTGGCTGTGGAGGGGTCTGAGATAGAGGAAGAAGCTGAAAGTTGGGCAGAGTCTGATGCTCATCCTCTTAGGAAGGCACACGCCTGATCAAGGAAGAGCAGTACCCAACACTTCTGCATCCTTCAAAACCCTACCTTGACTTCACTGGTGTTAAAATGATTTCCATGAATTCTTCCCTAGATTTAATTCATCCCTCCCTCTGAATTTCTGTTGAAACATCTTCTTGACCACATTGCCCTTCTCAATGTACATATCTATCTCCTTGTCCAGAGTGGGAGATTCTCTGGGGCACAGACCTACATCTGAGGCATCTGTGGGTCTCTGGGGCCTCGCACAGAATCCTGCATGAGTACAAGCTCAGGGACTTTTTGCTGAAGTGGATGACAAAGAGAGCAAGCATCCAAAAACGACTGCAGAGGCATGAGAAGAACGTGTGTGTGTGTGTGTGTGTGTGTGTGTGTGTGTGTGTGTGTGTGTGTAGAAGGGATGCTTTGGGAGGAGGGACATGAGAAAAGGAAAGCTTTGTCTAGGGAGAGGAAGAGGCCAGGCTCTGCCGCTGACCCCTGTGGGGAGCAGAGCTCATTTCTGAGCTCCCTAGGACTGAGCTGAGCCTCTTGTCTGTACCAATTCCAGAAGTTGTTCAGCTGCCTTCACAGCTTTTAGGTGCTGTAATGGGGTTCGTCAACAATTACTGGTGTTTTCTAATGAAGTTCAACTAGTTAAAACCATCCTCAAGCTAATGAACATTGTTGGGGACTTCCAGGAAAAAAATGCAGATGGACACCCCATCCTTTGCCAAACAAGTCCTCAAATATTTAAATTGGGGTGATTGAGCAGACTCTTCTTCACAGCCATCAGAGGGATCTTCCCTAAGCCTGTCCACATCATGGCCAAACTTAAATTTGAATTTTAAGGCAGTTAGCCCTCTGCCTCTGCCATATTGCTCTCCTCACCCTTTGCCAAGCATAGTTTGCTCACTTCTGTGTCTTTGCAGATGCTGTTCCCTCTGCTAGAAATTCCTTCCCCATCTCCCCATCCCCACTTCATCTGGCTCAGCTGTCCCAAACACAGGGTCTGATGCATTTTAGGAATTGCCTTACTTTGGGTTTCCCCAGAAGCAGATTCTAAAGCAAGGACTCAAGTGCAGGTAGTGAATTTGGGAAATGACCCCAACTGACACTGAAGGGACATTGAGAGGTGAGATAGAGTAGGGAAAGCACCAACAAAGATGCATTTTTCAAGCAAGTTACCTCCATGAGTAACTAGAACCTAACTCTGGGAGCCAGTGTAGGACTCCTGTCTCAGAGTTATCCCACCCAAAGGAAGAAGTGGGGTTTCTGTCCACCAGCTCCTATACACATTGGCTGAGAGCTGCTCTGGGCAGTGGGGGCCAGAGGGAGGTGTAGTGTTAACGCCCCAGTACTTCTAGCCTGCCCCTTGTGCTCAGAATTGGTCAATGCCAGGTGCATGTGAATGGGCACTGATGGCATCTGCTTCAGGCACATAAATTTTGCTGAATGAATGATTGACACACAAACAACTCAATAGTGATAATAATCATAACTAATATTTATTGTTTGGTATGTGTCGGGCACAGTTTAAGTACTTTGTACCTACCCACTTTCTGCATCCTTTTAATAACCCTTCAAGGTAAGCTATTATTACGTTCCTTTTACAGAGAAACAAACAGCAACACAGAGAGCTGAGTAACTTGCCCAAGGTCATGCAGCTAATGATTGACAGAGCTAGGATCGAACCTTCGCAATCTGGCATGGAGGTGCTGCAATCACTCTACCTGCACACTCAGGAGATGCTCCACCTCAAAGGCCTCTGCCATCTCTGACACTCCCAGTCTTATAATTCAAACAACTTCCTCCAACCTCCCAGGACCACCTCACTCTGGTGCACAGACCCTCATGGGCTCCATTTGTCTATTCCATGAAGCAAAAGCAGCCCCAGCATCCTGAGGGGAGCTTGTCTTCCTACCTTCCACTCTACCCACTGAGCTAAGGATCTCAACACATTGGCTACAGGAAGCTCCAACCCAGAGCCGGGTCTGGGAGTCAGATTCATCCTAGCTCTACCATCTCCAGCAGTGTGGCCTTTAGCAAGTCACTTAACTCATTCAAGTCTCAGTCTCCTCATCTATAAAATGATGATCACAATCCCTGCCCTAAAGGGTTGTGGTGAGCTTGTGGGAAGGCCCAGGCATATAGTGAGTGCTCAAGGACAGGCAGTTTCACATTCTTTGCTCTGAAGAAGTACACAAATATATTTCCATTAGGGTAAAACAAAAATATCTTAATGTTCACTTTATTCTAAGCCCTGGAGGCCTTTAGCAGGGCTGACAACTTTGTCTGGAGGATGGTAAATATTTGTCTATTTCAGAGGCAGTATTTATCTTCTAAGGCATTTGTGCCAGTCCCCGTGCTGACAAGCAACTTGTTTATTTATTACCTTAATAACAAATACATTGTCAGGCCTGGAGGCTTTGCACACACTGACTTAAGGATGGGCCGCTTTGAGCCCCAGCCAGCCCAGGCTCTGTCCCGCTCTGGGGGGTCTTGGGAGCTGCGGGAGTAGGGCAAGAAGGGACCTGGCTGCCTTCCATGTCCTGCCATTTATTCTTTCATTTGTTCTACCCAAACCCCTCCCCTTATCGAGCCCATACTGTGAGACTTGCCATGGGCTGGCCCTGGGCTGCAAGGAAGAACCACACACAGCCACTGTCCTTAAAGGGTTCAAAGTCTAGAAAGAGGGAGATGATGGTGATAAAAATAATAAGGATAATAATAATAATAATTAATAATGGCCAGGTGCAGTGGCTCACGCCTATAATCCCAGCACTTTGGGAGGCCAAGGCGGGCGGATCACGAGGTCAGGAGATCGAGACCATCCTGGCTAACAGGGTGAAACCCCATCTCTACTAAAAATACAAAAAATTAGCCAGGCGTGGTGGCGGATGCCTGTAGTCCCAGCTACTCGGGAGGCTGAGGCAGGAGAATGGCGTGAACCTGGGAGGTGGAGCTTGCAGTGAGCCGAGATCACACCACTGCACTCCAGCCTGGGTGACAGAGTGAGACTCCGTCTCAAAAAATAATAATAATAATAATAATAAATAATAATAATAGCAGTAAACACTCTGTGCCAGGCACTGTGCTAGGTACTTTACACACATTGACTCATTTAATTCTACTTATAAGTAGATACTATTATCCCCATTGTATTGATGAGGTAACTAAGGCATAGAGAGTCAAGGGGCTTACTCAAGCTTACCCCTACAAAACTCATTACAGTACACAGCAGGGGTAGATACCAAAACTACATAATAATTATGCAATAATAATACTTACATTTTTTATGATAGCCGCAAGGCTTCCTGGCTATTTTTCCCACATACCAGACACACTCCTGCCTCAGAGTCTTTGTGTTTGCTGTTTCCTCTTTCTAGAAGTCTTCCCCCAAAATCCACCTTGCTCACCTACTTCAAATCTTTATTCCAAGTCACCTTTTCAGTGGCACCTCCTCCATTTACCATTGCTGCCCAATCTGACCCTCCAACCTCCTTTGCTTAATCAGCTTCCATAGCACTTATCACTGTAGTATGTCCTACTTTTGTTTGCCTCTTCCCACTCAAGTGTACTGCCATGGGGCAGGGTTTTTTCTGCCTTGTTCTCTGCTACATTCACAGTATTCACAGACAAGAGCCTGGCACATAGGAGGCATTCAGTTTGTTGAGTGAATGAATTATTCCTTACGGTTTAATCTCTACAGCCCTCCCCTGAACTGCTGGCATTTCTCAGGATCCAGACACTGCTTCTCCTTTCTGGTGTCACCAACACACTCTCCTTGGAGGATTTCACACCTTCCAGGGATTCAGGTTCCAGCCTCCTCTGAGGACTCTCAGATCTTTGTCTCTAGACCAGATCTTGCTCTTGTGTTGACCTCTTTAGGTAAGCATCCAGGAGACTTCACCAGGGCTCCACCTAAGTCAGAGTCCAAAGCCTTCTCACCACCTTCTACCCACATGCACCCCTCCACCTGGGGAACCAAGTCCCAGTCACCCAAGCCAGGAGCCTGGGGGTCAAGCTTCAACTCCTGCCCTCCTTCATCCCACTATCAACAGTCCCAGGTTCTAAAAAGCATCTCTGGTCTTCCCCTTCTCTGTCACCACCTCAATTCAGGCCATTATCAAAAGGGGACTATAGCTCCAGCCTCCCTCCGGGACTGCCACCAGTCCCTCCCTGTGAAACCATCCCCTATGGTGTTTCTAAAACACCAGCATGCCCATTTAACTTCCCTGCTCCAGGCTCTTTAGTGGCCACCCATTGCCTACTGACTAAAGGCCAAGGCCATAGCCCCAACCTACCTTCCCAACCTTATTATCCCAGCCTTGGCATTCCCCCTTCCCCAAACACATCACGCACCCACACCTGTACTTGGCTCACTCTTTCCACCTGAAATGTCTGTGCCCCTCTCCTCTGTGTGTAACACGCCTCCTCACCTTTCATGATCCAACTTAAATGTCACCTCCTGCATGCATCCTTCTCTGAGAGGAGAGGAGGGGCATTGTGAGGACATGGACACAGGAAAGAATGAGACAGGTTTGGGCAATGGACCTTGCAGCTTCAGGGACCCTCCATCAGAGCTGGGCTCCTGGAATCTCCCGTGGGTGGTGAACTTACCACTGGCTTCAAGGTGGGGGTTGTAATTGGTCAGTGTGGGTCACAGACCTGACAGTGGGTCACAGACCTGACAGACACACAAAGCACCTGGACCCTCAAGAGCTCATGTCAGAGGTGTCTGGTGCCTGAGACCATGGGGACTACCAACCACATGATACGCTCTGGGGAAAAGACCTTCCAGATATCTGAGGTATCCTCTCCTGCTGCTGATCACGGGAGGCCAGGGCCCCAACAGTGATCCTGGGAGCTAGTGTGAGGCGGTATGGTGTGGTGGTTATGCCCATAGAGATCCTAGAGCTAGGCTGTCTGGGTTTGAATCCTGGCTCTACCACATTCTACTGCTGAGGCCTTGGATAAATTACAAAAATATTCTGTGCCTCAGTTTCCCTATCTAAAAAAGAAGAGTATTCATTGCACCTACCTTATATGGTCATCATGAAAACTAAATGACTTACCACAAATCAAACATGTAAAATATAGTAAGCATTATTTAGGTATGGTTATTATTGATGTCATTATTCACACTGTGGTTTGTGGTTTGACAGGCGAAGCCCAGAAATGAGACAGAGCAATGACTGGGCATTGCCTTCCAGGAGGGGAGTGGCTTGAAGGGAGTGACCTTGGGGCCAGGTGGGTCTCCTCTGTGTCATTCTTCAGGACTCAGCTCCAACGCACGCTCTCCATTATTCAAGTAGCCCTCCCTGATCCTGGCCCTCCTGAGGTCCCCTGCAGCCCCCCACCTCTGTATCACCCTGTGTTGTCATTATCTGCTTATGTGTCTGTCCCCACACCCAGGCTGTGAGCTCCAAACTGGCATGGTCCACCCCAGTGCAGCTCTTGGAGCCCCAGTGCCTTTCTTGGTGCCAGGCCCACAACATATGCTCCACAACTGAGCCGAGCTGCCAAGTCCTCCCCAGCCCAGAGCCTGTGGCCTGAAATCTAAAGCCTTTAATGCCTGCCTCAGAGCTGGGTGCCACAGGAGGGATCACGCCCTCAGACCTGGACATCTTGGGGGAAGGTTTGTTCCTTTCCAGAGAGTAATGCCTCCAAAGCCACTGAGACTGCTCATGAGCTGGAATTCAAGACCTGGGAAAAACCTAGGGTGTGTGTCTGGTAGAGAAGGATGGGGGCAGGGCCCACTCCCTGTGAGAATCTTCCCTGGGTAAAACTGGACATTTAACAACAGGCTCAACCCAAGGCACTGACCAATCTGGAGACCCTGCTATGCTCACCATTAACCCTGCACTTGCTTGACCATGGGAGGGCTGAGGATCCTAGAGGAGATGACAAGACAGCTATTTGCCAGCCAACATAAAAATATTTCAGTATTTTGACAACCAGCAGGGCTCTATTTGTACAGCCCAGCTATTAGACCTGAATACAGCAACAAAGGAGACTCAAGCTCTTGTCCTCCAGGAATTTACTGCCCAGTGGGTTGCTGGGGAGCCAAGGCTGAGAGACAAGCAAGCAGTCATCACACAATGAGACAAATGCTATAAAAGAACTGCATGCAAAATGCTATGAGAGTCCAGTGAAGGAGGAGTGCCCAGGCTTGGATGAATCTGGGGCTATTGAAGAAGGAGGAGGTATTTTGGAGGCCTTGGAGTTTTAGCCAGCTAGATTAAGAGGAACAGTCACTGCAGGCAGTGAGAACAGCAAGGACAAAGGCCTGGAATTGGGCAGGTATGGGGCATGTTGAGGGAACAAGGCCGGTAAGGAATGTAGGAGACAATGGAGGAGGAGCAGGCAGGGGTCAGACTGTGAAGAGTGAGACTCATATGCCCCATCAAGAAGTTTGGAGTTTTCCACAAGTGCCACAATAAACATACGTGTGCATGTGTCTTTATAGCAGCATGATTTATAATCCTTTGCGAATATGCCCAGTAATGGGAGGACTGGGTCAAATGGTATTTCTAGTTCTAGATCCTTGAGGAATCGCCACAGTCTTCAACCATTGTGTCCTCAACCATCATCCATCTGTTGTTAAATTTCCAATTTTATCCAAGGAAGACTCTCACAGGGAATGGGCCCTGCCCCCATCTTTCTCTACCACACACACACCGTAGGTTTTTCCCAGGTCTTGAATTCCAGCTCGTGAGCAGTCTCAGTGGCTTTGGAAGCATTCCTCTCTGGAAAGAAAGAGAAACCTTCCCCCAAGATGTCCAACCATTGTGGAAGACAGTGTGGTGATTCCTCAAGGATCTAGAACTAGAAATACATTTGACACAGTCATCCCATTACTGGGCATATATCCAAAGGATTATAAACCATGCTGCTATAAAGACACATGCACACGTATATTTATTGAGGCACTATCCACAATAGCAAAGACTTGGAACCAACCCAAATGTCCATCAATGATAGACTGGATTAAGAAAATGTGGCACATATACACCATGGAAGGCTATGCAGCCATAAAAAAGGATGAGTTCATGTCCTTTATAGGGACATGGATGAAGCTGGAAACCACCATTCTGAGCAAACTATCATAAGGACAGAAAAACAAACACCGCATGTTCTCACTCATAGGTGGGAATTAAACAATGAGAACACTTGGACACAGGGTGGGGAACCTCACACACCAGGGCCTGTCGTGGGGTGGGGGGATGGAGGAGGGATAGCATTGGGAGATATACCTAATGTAAATGACGAGTTGGCGAGTGCAGCATACCAACATGGCACATGTATACATATGTAACAGACCTGCATGTTGTGCACATGTACCCTAGAACTTAAAGTATAATTAAAAAAAAAAAGAAATTTGGAGTTTTATTCAATTGGCAGAGAAAAGCCAAAAGTGTATTTTAGATAGGCGAGTGACATGGCTGGATTTGGCAAAAAAACTAAATCTGGCTTCAATGTGGAGAGTGGGTTGGAGGGGGCCAGATGGGAGGCAGGGGGGCCAAGCAGAGGCTGCTGCAGGGCCCCCATTAGGGAGAATGTGGAGTGGCCAGTGAGACAGTTGAAAGATGGGGGGCATAAGTGAGCAGCATCTTCTCAGAAAAAAAAATCAGCCACATTAGGCCAGTCTTGGTCAAAAGGAGTAGTTAATCTTCTGGATGGAGGGAACCACAAAGCATCCGAGAGCCAATGGGATCCTGATAGATAAGGAATTTAATCCTCATGCATTTAGCCAGACCTGGGAACAACAAACAGGGGCAGGTTATCGGCTGGGTCCCCGTAGTAGGCTCCCACGCCATGACTATCTATCTGACTCGCCCATTATAACCCCCAGACCTTGAAAAAGACAGGAAGAAGTAGCTCCAACTCACTGCACAAGGCTCAGTCGCCATTTATCTTTCAACAAGTGGCTCTGTGGGTCAGCATTTGTCATTCGACCCATCAGAGAACAGCTGCAAAGCATGGACTCGGAAGGCCGTGGTTTGAGGCTGAGCCACGGAATGAGTTCTGGGCCAGGGGTCCTGCTGCTGCCACTCACTGGCTGTGTCAAAGGGGACAAAGTCAATCCCCTGCATCTCAGCCTCAGTTTCCTCATCTTGAGAGGACTGTTATGCATGTCACCTGAGGATGGCACCTCTGCTTGCTGTCCATCTTCTGCTTTGAGGTAATGGGCCAGCTACCCAGCTTCTCAGCTGGCACAATGACAAAAGCAACTATTCATTAAGCACCTAGTGTGTGCCAGACTCTGCGAAGGACACTATAAACACATACATGCACACACACACACACACATACACACACAGACACACACACACCCCAAACCCCTCCAATGCAGACAGACACTATTATTACCATTTTAGAAATATGAAAATAAGGCCGGGCCCAGTGGCTCACACCTGTAATCCCAGCACTTTGGGAGGCTGAGGTGGGTGGATCACTTGAGGCCAGGAGTTCCAGACCAGCCTGTTCAACATGGTGAGACCCCATCTCTACTAAAAATACAAAAAAAGAAATTAGGTGGACGAGGTGGCACATGCCTGTAATCCCAGCTACTCGGGGGTGGGGCTGATGACCAAAATGAATCTGGGAGGCGGAGGTTGCAGTGAGCTGAGATTGTGCCACTGCCCTCCAACCTGGGCAACAAAGCAAGTCTATATCAGAAAAGAAAAGAAAAGAAGGCAGAGGAAGGAAGGAAGAAAGGACGGAAGGAAAGAAGGAAGGAAGGAAGGAAGGAAGGAAGGAAGGAAGGAAGGAAGGAAGGAAGGAAGGAAGGAAGGAAGGAAGAAAATGAGACTCAGAGAAGTTCAGTCTTGTTAAAGACCACACAGGGAATAAAGGGCAAACCTGGGATTTAAACATAGATTTGTTGGATGCTAATATGTACAAGTTTCTGCAAGACTAGGCAGACTAGGCAGGTATGAGAATGTGAATGGGACTCAGACGGACTCAGGGCTCCTTGTCACATTCAGCAAACTGGAGGGCCCTTCCACTCCCTCAGGGCTTGCCCTTCTCTCTGAAATATACACAAACCACCTGAAATGGCACACTAACCATCTGCCCTTTCATCCTTTAAAAAAAGTCTTTCTACTTCCCAGTGGAAAATGAAAATATGATTATGGCTCCACCTCCTTATTGTTCTTATAGTTCAGTGATGAAGAGTTTTGACGTTGTTATCATTCAAACCTGTTACTTTCTAGTTGTGTGACCTTGGACAAGTTGATTAACTCCTCTGAGCTTTGATCCCATCATACATAAAGTAAGGACAATGACAACAATAATCTCCTCCTCATGGATTTGTAGTTAATTCATAGGGATCATTTTGCTCCAAGCCTGGCCCACAGTAACAACAGTATCCACAGCACAGATTCTAGACTTAGACTGGCTGGATTCCAATTCTGGCTCCACCATTGGGTAACCTTGGGGAAGTTATGTAACCTCTCTTTGTCTCAGTTTTCTCATCTGTAAAATGGGATCTTATAGAACCTATCTCATAAATGGTTGTGAAGATTAAACAAGTTAATACATGTAAAATGCTTGGGAATTTTGGGGCATCTCATCAGCACTCAATAAGTGTTGCCTATTTTAGATCATCTTCACCATCTACTATGATATACTATAGAAAACCATTTGTAGACACTTTGACTCTTATACAAATATCTGGCAACCTACAGAGAATAATTAGAACAAGAGAACTTAAATTGGGGAAAGAGGGGATAAAAGGGGTATCAACTGGGATCAGCAGGGTTAAAGAACCAGGTATATGTTGGAATGTTGAAACGGAACTCAGGGCAAAGTGCTGGCTAAGACAGAAGGAGTTGCCTCTCCCTCTTTCTCTTCCTCTCCCCACCTCCCTCCCACACTCCCTCCCACCTTTCTTTCAATTGTTGTAAAAATAAAATGGGATGATAATGCATGATAGAGACTGGCTAGCTCTTTACCAAACCCATGTCCTCTTCTCCTGGGCACATGGCTAGACTACACTTTCCAGTCTTCCTGTCATTAGGATTAGCCATACATCTGCATCCCGAACAATGGAATCTGAGCGTAAGTGATGTATGCTACTTCCTGACCTGGCACATAAAAAAAAACTTCCATGCTCTTTCCCCTTCTGCCACTGGGTGTAGATTTAGAGCATGCCTCTAGAGCCACATGTTGAACTTGAAGAGCCACAGTATATAAAGAGCCTGGTCTGACTCACCTCTTGAAGGAGAGCTTCCCATCAGTCAAAACACCCATTCTGGGCTTTATCAGAGAAAGAAATAAACTTCTATAGTGGTTGAAACATATGCTTTCATGGACTTATTTGTTATAGCAGCTAATGACAACCTAACTAATGCTACTGCTTGCAAAAAGTTTAACGCTGTGCCTGGAACATAGTGAGCACTTAGTTTATAGTAGCCAAGAATTCAGGAGATCAGAAACCCCAACAATGCTGCAGATTATAAGATATCAAAACTTGCATTGGTTTCAGAAAACAAGCCTTTTGCACCCTCTCTTCTAAACTCACAAAAGCATAGAGGAGCCTCTTTGGGTCTCTGTGAAACAGACTTAATGAATCCATCCAAAAGAGTGACCCCGAGGCATAAAGAAAATAATTATAATAACTATCATTTAAGCAAAATATGGTTGTGCATTAGGCATTTAACTATTGACTTTATCTGTATTACCTTACTTATTCCTCCTAAGTATACTAATAATTCCCATTTTACAGGTAATGAAACAGAGGGTCAGAGGTTAATGCCCAAGTCACATAAATAGTAAGTAGGCAGCCAAGCAAGGACTTGAACTCAGGTCTGATTGATTATACAGCCAAACTCCTTAAACCACTCCCCTTCCCTGGGTGAGGAGAGGCCCTCCAGGGCCCATCTTGGCTGACTGGCTCCACACCTGGATCCTCAGCCAACAGGGAAGGGAAGTTGACCTTGGAGTCACAAGGGACAATAAGTTGAGACTCAGTGTAAGAGATTTTGGGTCTGTCTGACTTAACCCAGCTCTCCAGGCTTAGCTCCCTCTTCAGCCTCTGCGACCCAGCCAAGCTGCAGCTAGACCCAGTATTGGTGCAGCATGTAAAAAGCTGGAAAAAAAAAATAGGGGAAAATAGGTTACCAGTAGGGAAGAGGAAACTTGTCATCCCACTCCCTTCCACCCCACACTGACTACCAGGAAGCAGTTAGACATTGGGCCCTGGCTTTCCCTGCCAAGGTCACCTTCATGACAGTTCCACCAGGGCTTCAGCTGGCAGCACCCGCCAACGCCAGGCCATGATGGATTACTGCTCGCTCTGGCTACTGTTCACTGCACAATCCAATCTAGGAGACACACATATTTCTCAATTCAGGGACTTCTTTTATTTTATGAAAAAATCAGCCAGCTGCTCAGGCACGAGTAGCTGGGCTTGGCGAGTGCTGTGGATTTTGTGAGTCTCCTCCAGCCCTGTTGCCTTCCTGAACTGCTCTTCCTTCTGTCCTATCCATTACCCACTCTCAGCCCCATAGAGTGTGGAAAAAAGAGCCCAGGCTTTGGAGCCAATTAGTCCTGGGTTCGAGCCCCACGTCTACCACTTACTCTCTGGGGGATTTTGCACAAGTTGCTCTCTGTGCAACTTTCCCTGAGCCTCAGTTTCCTCGTGTGTACTGTGATGGTGATGCTACCCACACTCCAGAATTATTAAAAGGCATAAATGAGTCATGAGTGTGGTGTCCTGGCACAGCAAAGAGCATACCTGCAACTACTACACATAGGAACCTATTCAGTTTCCTCTTCTCCATCTCTATTCTTAATCAATTTCTCATTTTCTCTGTCCTCTGCTCTTCCTCCCTCTTCCTCTTCTCTCATCTCTGCTCCTCTGTAGGTCATATCAACTTTAAAACTTCCAGAGAATGTCCCAGACTGCTCTGTCCTAAAAATCAGAGCAATTACTACCACAAGCCCCTTGAACTAAGCTTCTTCTTTATGCTCTGGATTTGTACGAACAACTACGGTCTATCTTGTGTTATGATTAGAATATAATCCTTATGACTTGGAGAGTGGTTCTGAAACTGTGTTACTGACTTCTGGAAAGGCTGATTCCAACCCTTAAATCTCTTGTCACCACCCTTCCAAATTCTAGTAAACCATTGTTCTCAGTTCTTCGCCTGCTTTCTATATTTCTGATTTTATTGAGGTACCCCTACCAGCTCAAAGACAGAGGAAAGCATTCTCTGTGGGAAGTGATCAGGGGATTATCTTTATGAAACTGAGCAAAAGAAAAAAAATAGGCTGGGAGTGGTGGCTCACGCCTGTAATCCCAGCACTTTGGGAGGCCGAGGCGGGCAGATCATGAGGTCAGGAGATCGAAACCATCCTGGCTAACACAGTGAAACTCCATCTCTACTAAAAATACAAAAAAATTAGCCGGGCATGGTGGCAGGTGCCTGTAGTTCCAGCTACTCAGGAGGCTGAGGCAGGAGAATGGTGTCAACCCGGGAGGCGGAGCTTGCAGTGAGCCGAGATCACACCACTGCACTCCAGCCTGGGTGACAGGGCGAGACTCCATCTCAAAAAAAAAAAAAATAGTAGCCTGATCTGGCCCAGGAGTCCAAGCTCCCCACCACTTCATGAATAATTTGAGTCATCTTGTTAATAAACGTTTAAATGGAAAGAAAAGCAAGGAGATGAGTTAGACTGAAAAATCAAAGCTGGCCAGGTGCAGTGGCTCGCGCCTGTAATCCCAACACTTTGGGAGGTCGAAGCAGGCGGATCACTTGAGGTCAGGGGTTCGATATCAGCCTGGCTAAAACTGGCAAAACACCATCTCTACTAAAAATACAAAAATTAGCCGGGCACGATGGCTCATGCCTGTAATCCCAGCTACTCGGGAGGCTGAGGCAGGAGAATCACTTGAACCCAGGAGGCAGAGGTTGCAGTGAGCTATGATCACACCATTGCCCTCCAGCCAGGGCAATAGAGCTAGACTCTGTCTCAAAAAAAAAAAAAAAAAAAAAAAAACCACACACACACACACACACACACACACACACAAAATAAAATAGTAAAATAAAATAAAAATAAAAGCCAAATTAGTGCTTTAAATGAAGATGAAAATTGAGCACAATCTTAGAAGACATCTCTATGTCTCCTTTTGCTAGTGCCAGCTTGAGGGTTAGACGAGGTTGTTCCTTCAAGTCAAAGGAGACCAGAGACCCTGGATCAGAGACAGCCCCACTCTGAGTACCGGCACCAACAGCCAGAATAGAGCTGGAGGCCTTGGGGTGCCTGAATTGCCGGCCGCCATGTCAACATCAGAACACAACACCAGAACATCTTCCCAAACATCCTTGACTTCCCCGCCTTCCCCACTCAGACACTCAACCATTCTCCAAGCCCTCTCAAATACCTAGCAAGTCCATCCTCTTCTCTCCATCCCATTTCCTCTGTCTTATTCCAGGCCCCATGACCTCTCACCTGAGTCACTGCACTAGCCTCCTCCCTGATCTTTCAGCCCTTGCCCCATCCCAATCCTCTCTCTGCACAGCAACAAAGTGATCTTTCAAAAATACCAAACTGACTATGTCTCTCTTCTCTGTGGAACCGTCAAAGGCCTGCCACTGTTCTCAGGCTAATCTAACTTCTTAGGCCAGAAAACTTCTGTGAAGGGCCACAAAGTAATTATTTTAGGCTTTGCAGGCAAATGGACTCTGTTGTAACTACTCAAGTGTGCCATTGTAGCAAAAGTGGCTATAAACGGTAAATAAATACATGAACATAGCTGTGTTTCAATAAAATTCAACTTACAAAAACATGCAGTGAGCCAGATTCAGCCAGCAAGCCATCATTTGCCAACCTCTGTGACTTAAGCCAACCCATGATGCCCTGGGTGACTTAGCCACTGCCTCACAGAGGCTATCCTCACCAATCACCATGCTTAATTTTTTCTTTACAATCACAAAGTATGACTCAGTTCCTCCAAACAGGCTGTGTTTTGTCAAACCCCCATCAAAACTCTTTCTTTTCCCTCTCTCTCTCTCTCTCTCTCTCTCTTTTTTCTTTTCTTTTTTTTTTTTAGAGACGGTGTCTTGCTCTGCCACCTAGGCTGGAGTGCAGTGGTGCAAATGTGACTCACTGCAGCCTCAACCTCCTGGGCTCAAGCGATCCTCCTGCCTCAGCCCCGTAAGTAGCTGGGACTACAGATGTGCACCACCACGCCCGGCTAATTTTTGTAGAGATGGGGTTTCGCCATGTTGCCCAGGCTGATCTCCAACTCCTGAGCTCAGGCATTCCACCAGCCTAGGGCTCCCAAAGTGCTAGGATTGCAGGTGTGAGCCACTGCACCCAACCCAAACCTCTTTCCATGCTGTTCCTTTTGCCCATGGCTTTGTCTCAGTAGTTCTTACTCATCTTAGATGACTCAGCTCAGTCTTTGAAGGGAAATTTGGTAATGTCCATCAAAATTTGAAACACATATGCCCTCTGTTTCCTCAGCAATTCAACTTCTAGGAATTTGTCCCACAGACAAATTCAAACAAGTGCTTAAAATTGTACCTGTGAGAATGTTTGTTGCAGTACTGTTTGGAGTGCTAAAGAAAATTGAAACAACTTAAATGTTGATCAGTTGGGGAGTGATTACATTGTGGCACACACATGTCATGAATATTATACTGCTATTTAAAATAATGTAGTAAAAAATAGAGTAGATCCAGATGTTCTGATCAGAAATGATTTCCAAGATTATTAAGAAAGCAGGATGCAAAAGATTGTATGTGACATTCCATTTGTGTAAAAAAAAAAAGGATACACACATACACATAAATGTTTGATATGTATAGGACATCTGAAATGATACACAAGAAATGTGACAGTGGTCTTACTCCTGAGGAATGGAACTGCAATTGAATGGTTGAGTCAGGGCTGCCAGGTATTGTGGTAAAGCTTGTGCACTGTGCAAGCCCACTTGGAGCCACATATCTAGACCATAATGGCAACAGTGTCCCCTGGAACTGTGCAACATAGCAGAAGCTCTGATTTTAGAGAAGGGAAACTTTTCATTACCTGCTTTGATAATACTATTTGAATTTTTACCACACCGAAGTGTGGAGCCTAAGAGTGAGCCCTAGATTTGAAGACTGCAACATAGCTATTTGTCAGCCTGCCAGACTGTGAATCCTTTGAAGGCAAAAAGCCTATCTTATTCACAGCACAGTGTAAGTCATGCCATCAAAGAAAGGTGTAAAAGATACAAAGAGAGCACAGGTTAGCCTGATTTGGAACTGGATCTTGCCAGATAGAAAAGCAGGGAAGGGCACTTAAGCCAAAGGGAAGAGCAAATGCAAAGGCATAGATAGAAGAAAGAAGCTGCACAGTCAGGAGATGTTCGGAGTGATACAGATAAATAGCTTTTGCATATGTGCAAGTGGGTATTTGATTTAACAAACAGTCACCAGAACCTACCATGTGCCAGAAAGCACATTAGACAAGTCATGACAGTCTGTGATTCCAGGGTTCCTAGGAAGGGAAAGAAGATGAGAATAAGCTCAGATTCCCTTAGGATAAGACAAACTTTACTGGCATGCTGGAGGTCAGAGGCAAGAGACAACTTCTAACAGGGGCTGTAACAGAAAGCTTCTTGGGGAAGCTGGCATATGACACGGTGCACGAAGGATGAGGAAGATTTCACCAGGCAGAGATGGAACAGGGTAGTACAGGGGTGGGCAACACCTTAAGCAAAGGAAGGGAAATAAGAGAGCCCAGGACACGTTCAGAGAGCTGAAGGACAGAGCCACATGAGAGGAAGGCTGTAGAGAAAATAGGCGAGGTTGGTTTGTAGCTGGAAAGAGCTTTGAACATGAGGCCAAGGATACTGGCCGGTTTCCATGCCTCTGGTAGAGTCTGGGTTTCCAGCTGACATTCTCGGAAGCTAAGGGTCATTATCCAGGACATTAAGTGGCTAATGGGCCCACCCCAGTACCCTGTGCAGCCTGGAGCACAAATGTTTTCCAAAAGCCATTTTTATCTCCTGGCAACAGTGAGGCCAAGCCTTCTGAGCTACAAGCCTGGTACTTGTTGTGGTTCACTCTCCTCTCTACTGCTCATGGCCTAAAGCCCTAAGAACCGTCTCCTCCTCATCACCCCAGCCCAGCCCCAACCCAGCTCAGCCCTTCTCCAGAAACAAAGCCAAGCCCACACCTGCTATCTCTGACCTCATTTCTTCCCCACTAATTGATCAGAATACAATAATAGCAGGCATCAGGAGGACTAGTCCCTGATGGACCCAGGGCTCAGGAGAGAGCCTCAATTACTAATCCTGCACCAGCTACTAGAGCCAACAGCTCTCCTGGGTGCCCAGAAGGGTTGCCTGGTATTGGATGGGGGTGATGTCAGAGTGGAGATGGTGGCTGAATAAGATGCAGCAGCTCATCTGGAGCCATGGGACAACAGGATCTGGTGCCTTGCCCTGAGTAGAGAGACCTGCTGGCCATCCTTGGTGATGCTGAGGGACAAGGCCATTTGGAAGGCCCTGAGGACACTCTTCCCTGGCCTTTCTGCCATAGGTGACTGAGGCCTCCCCTTCTCAAACAGGCCCCCTGCATAGAAACAGAGGGAGAAGAATAACAGAGGCCTTTTCCAGCCATCTCAACTAGGTCCAAGCCTAGCACCATGCAAGTTTTCTCTCCGTGACTCTAAGGGACCTACACCTGGGCGTACAAATACAATTCTCCCACCTCTGCTTGCCCTAGCTGTACCTAACCTCCATGGCTAACCTAACACAAGACTCGCCTCCTCCAAGAAGTCCTTGACTGATTCTACCCTCCCTGACTCATATCTTTCTAAATTGTTTTTATGCTGAGCCACTCCACGGAGTCCACAGAATTATTGCCGGTTTTGCAGTGTTCTTTTATGGCTGTGAGCAGCTGCTGTATTCTTATAAACTTTTTAAGGACAGGGCTCTTCTCCTTGCTTGTGGGAAAAGAGAAAAGGCACAGAACTGGGAGTATACAGGAATAGGTTTCAAGCCTGATCTCTGCCACTAACAAGGTGTGTGACCTCAGAGAAGTCACCCAACCCCTATGAGCCTCAGATTCTTAATCTGCAAAATGGAGAACATAATAATTCCAGCCTCCCCAGACACGTTGAGAAGGGCCAGTGGGGCTGTGCTGCCCCCACCTCTTTACCAAGAAGCTCCACCTCTCACTAGGCCTGCTATCCCCACTCCCCACAAACACTCTGCGCTCTCCATAAGACTTTTACTTGTTTAATTAAAAATGATATAAAACAACGTATGTATTGATGATTTATTGCACTCACCAGGCTGCTGATATCACTTAAGGGGCATGTTCTAAACAGAACAGGTTCCATGCTCAACAAAGAAATACATAATAACAATACCTCTTAAAGTGAAATTCCCTGGCAGATAGGCCAGGAGCCAGGCATGACCCCGGGATACTTTTAGAACTTACTGCTCTTGCAAGAAGGGACTGAGAATTCTGGGAGCCAAGACAGCCATGTAGAAGTAGACCAGGTCTTGGAATCATCAAATATTAGCTGGTTCAAATCCTACCTCTTCTTTGAAAGTGGTCAGTTTTCCTCTGAGCTTGGGTTTCATAATCTGGGGATAATCCTACCTCAAAGCATTGTTGCAACAATCTCTGTAAAATGCCTGGCATATAGTGGGTACTCAATAAACAGTAGCTATTTTTTTGCTGTTTTGGGGGGGGGTTGATCAGCTTTCTTGAGGATAATCCATATACCATAAAATTCACCAATTTTAAGTGTATAATTTGATGACTTTTAGCAAATGTATATAGTCATGTAGTCACCATCAAAATCATGATATTAACAATTCCATCATCCTAAAAGCTTTCCTTGTGCCCCTTCTCAAGCAATACCCACCCCCTGACTCATGGCCCCTAGCAGCCACCAATCTGATTTCTGTCCTTACAGTTTTCCTCTTCTAGAATTTCATATAAATGGAATAACGCATTCTGGAGTCTTTTTTACCTTTCTTCTTTCACTTAGCATAATACACCTGAGATTCATCCATGTGGTTAAATGTATCAGTAATTCATTCCTTTTTATTGATGAGTAGTTTTTCACTGTATGGGTATACCATAATTTGTTTATCCTTTTGACAGTTTGACGGACATTTGGGTTGTTTCTATATTTGGACTATTACGAATATCACTGCTATAAATATTGAGTATAAAGCTGTGATTATTAGTTATTTGGAATCACAGAAAATCAGAGCTGGACTGTTCCTCAGAGATCACCAAGTCTAGCACCTTCATATTGAAGATAAAGAAAATGAGCTCACAGGGGAAAGCTCATGGTTTAACTCCTTGCCACTGAAAGTGTAGCCCATGAATCAGCAGCATCAGCATCACCTGGGAGCTCATTAGAAATGCAAAATTCAAGACCCCACCCTGGACTTAGTGAATCAGAATCTGCATTTTAGCAAGATCCCCAGGTGTTGAATAGTCACATTCGAGTTTGAGAATCACTAGTCTAGCAGACAATAAATGAATTTGGGATTAAATAATAAGTCACCTGACTCCTGGCCCAGAGCTGCTGTCTTTGAATCACAGTGATTGGCAGTGAGTAGTGGGCAATTAGGGCCAACAGCCTCAGGTCCTGAAGAGCTCCTCTAATTTGAGAGGGTCTGCTGGTTTAGTGAAGGGCAGAGCTGCTGCTGCCTCATGGCCTCTTGGGGACATAGGGCCTCACAATGTCTGGGTCAGCTTAGGTCCCAGAGGTCCTAGGATCCTTAATTGAAAAATCATAATTATTTATTTAGATGACACTGCTGTTAGCATGCAGAATTAATGACAGCCATGTGGTCTAGGTTGAGGGAGGCAGAAATGGAGGGCAAAAGACTTCTGGGTGGGGATTTCAGAGCCCAGAGGTGCTCCATAAACTCACCTTCGTGGACACCCCTTAACCATGTTATGTTTATTAAACAGATACACAAAAGCATAAGCACACTTTCCCTTAAAGCTTAAATAATAGCTACGAATTGTTTCCAGTTTTAACAAATTATAAAATAGTTTGTTGTTCTCATTACAGGTTAAGCATCCAAATCCAAAAATACAAAATACAAAGTCCTCCAAAATCCGAAACTTTTTGAGTGCTAATGTGATGGACACTCATAGGAAATGCTCATTGGAGCTTTCTGGATTTGAGATGCTCAATTATAACTGCTAATATTCCAAAACCTGAAAAAATTTGAAATCCAAAACACTTCTGGTCCCAAGCATTTCAGATAAAGGATACTCAATATGTAATTGGTGATAATTTCAGGATGATGGGTTTATAAGTGAAAACAATATTGCTGTCATGAAATTTTCTTTTATTCTGTAATTGGCTGTTACAGTGTGTTTCTTAGCTAGGAAACAAATGTGATTCACCCCAAGATGGGCCAACCAGCCAACTCACCACCTAAGAGAGAGGGTATCTCTTTAAGGTGTCACTGATCTTTAGACACTTACTGGATGTCTATGATGTTCTGCCAATTGAAAGCAGGGGATAGGAAGACATGGAAGAGTACCTGCTCTCTGAGAGTTTATAGGCTAATGAAGGAGGGAACAAGATAAAGCTGAGACAAGATAAATAACCATACACAGCAACCTATCCATGACCAGAGAGTGGTACCAAGTGTCAGTACTTCTGTAGCTCAGAGACCAGAACACCTGTGACTAGACTGAGCAAGGCCTTTAAAAAAAAAAGAAAAAGAAAATGAGAGAATGCACCATAAAGGAAGAACAGCTTGAGAGGAGGTGTGGAGGTGGGAAATCTATATGCTGCAAACAGTCCTTGTATGGCTAGAGTGAGAAGTGGAAGATGACAATGGTGTGAGAGAGATCAATCTAGAGATGGAATTAGGAACATAATTATTAATTTATGTAAATAAATAATTATATGTTTATATAAATACAAAATCAGCAGTCAAATAATAACATGTAACCCCTATATAGCCCACACCAGGCTAAGAAGGCAGGACTTTGTCTTAAAAAAAACAGGGGTCATTGAAAAGTTTATACAGGGGCTTGATGTGGTCAGATTTATAACTTTATCTTGAGGAAATTATAGGCCCATAACGTATTAGATACAGAGAGAAGCAATTTGTGCACATGGAGTGTAGTCCACGGACACAATCACCTTATTGCTTGTTAGAAGCATAGATTCCTAGGGCCCACTTTGGGCTAAATTAATGAAAGTTTGGGAATATGCCTTAGTTTAATAACACTGATTTTAAGGCCCTTGTTTTTTACAAGGGGAAACTGAGGCTTAAAATGACAAATGAATTTCCCAAAGGCCATACAGCTGGTAAGTGGCAGAGCCAAAACTGCCTGATTCTAGATACCATCCCAGAGCTCTTCCTTCACCAGACTGATTGAAAGTGTGTTGTGTTTTGTTTTTTTTTTTAAAAAAAACACTTACATTATCCAGACGTTGTGCCCCTTAGACATATCCAATAGGACTATCCTACTCATAGCTTTTCCAGCAGGAAACATTCTAGTACTTTCTGCACACCCATCTCCACTAGCTGCCTTCCAACCTTAACTCCCACCCATGCCACTCAATACAGACCAGACAAGGCCGGTCCACGTCAGTCTTCTGAAGATCTTCCTATTACTGTATATAGAACACTAATGCCTCTCAGCATCTGCTGGACCCAGGTGATGGGTGTCACATGAGCAGATTAGGAGTAGAGAAGGGAGAAGTCAGTCTAATTGCATTTCATGTCACAGAACACCGAGATTTCATCGAGGGTCAAATTATGCAAAACAATTATGCCTTATCCCATGCAATCTTCCTTGATGTGTCCTGCCCTTCAGACTGAGACCCTTGGAACTCATTCTCACAGGTGGGCTAGGAGGAAAGGAGGCATGGAATCATACCTCCTGGTACAGGTGCCCCTGCTTTAAGTGAAGATCCAAAATACAAAATCAGGAGTCAAATAATAACATGCAGCCCCTATGTAGCACTCTGTGCTAGATGCTGTTCTAAGTGCTTTACATTTTTAGCCCTTGTAACAAACCCATGAGGTAATTACTATTATTACTCTCAGTTTACAAATGAGGAAATTAAGACCCAGAGAAGTTAAGTGACTGGCCTTGGGTCTTCAGGCTAGCGAGTAGTAGAGTTGACATTCAAACACAGGCAGTCTGGGTCCAGAGCCCACGCTCCTAACCACAGTGCAAAACCTACTGTTTGCCAAACCCTGTGATGGAAGCTGAATAAAAAGCTGAACCAGACCCAGCATTGAGGGAGCTCACAGTCTAAAGGAAGGACATAATAGTAGTCACCAACACAGACAATAACAACAGTGTAATCAGTGCTGGACAGAGAGAAGCCTAGGGCTCTCGAAGCCCAGAAAAGATTTTCCCAAACCCAACCCAGGGATCAGGAAGGCATCCTGAAAGGGGAGGTACCTGGGTTGCCCTTGAAGGATAATCAGCTGCCAATAATTGCTCCTCAGGAGGCAGGCATTAGTGTTTCCTGTGCCTGGGCCAGCTCTGGTCCTGATAATCCCTTCCCTTCCTAATTAGATCTGTTATTCACAACCAGATCCTGCTCCTAGTGAGAGAAAACTCAGCAAAGCCCTACTTCCTGGATTCTGAATATTCAGGTCCCATTGGAGGCTCCAGCTTAACAGTCTCCCAAATATCCATGACTACACTGTGGAAGAGTACTGCAGTAAACCTTCCAACTAAACACAATTCAATTATGTCCCCAGATCCCAAAATAGAATGATTCTCTTCCTCTCTCTTTTTTAGAATCTTTATGGAGAAAGGAGCACACACGGGACACTGGCTTAATCCAGCTACTGGAAGGTTTCAGCAAAGGAGAGACATAACAGGGAAGTGGACAATAGCCCCCTAGGTTCCTGCCTGAATTATGGGGAGGACAGCCCTTAACTGAGATTATGAACAAAGGATAGCATGTCTTGGCTAAGGCAGCCTGAGCAGCTGAAAACATGCCTAGGGAGTATGCCAGCTGTATTAGTCTTCCATCTGGAGTCCTTTGAACACATAACAAAGTACCTGTGGCTTGGTGTTTGTTTGCAGGGGCACCCCATGCAGAGATGGGCATCCTAACCCATCTCTGGGATTTTATCAAGCACTTCCAAGGCTAAGTACTGAATGGAGGAGAAGACCAGAACTGCCCCCATAGCAAGGGGGAAGTCCAAGAGAACATGACTTTGGCCTGTCTTCCAAACAGACTTGCATGAAGACAGAGTTCTGGGCACTAAGAAACTGAGGGTTGGCTGGAAAGAAATGGGGTAAAGTGACCAAGATTCAGCTTCTGGGCTTATCACTTTCTCAGAGTCTCAGTTTTCTCATCTGTGAGTTGAGGCTAATCATCTGTGATAAACTCATCCCTAGCTCACAGAACTGTTGAGGGAATTGGATAGGATAATGGCTGTGAATTCTCTTTGTAAATGGATTCAGGGTACAAATGTGGGTTTACAATAATAAAGTCCAGTTTTCTTTATGCTCAATCACTTATCCTCATTCAGGAATACAACTACACTTTTGTTTGTTTACACCTATCATTTTATCATCATGGGTATTTTTTTATTCTATACAATTTCTGTATGGTAGATAGGACAGGTATCTCCCATCCCATAGAAGAGAAATCAGGAGCCCAGAGACGTGACTCAAATATAACCCAGGACATTTTCTTCTGTATCAAGCTCTATATATAGGAGGAATAAAAACAATTAACATATATATTGCTTTATTAGTTTATAATTGACAAAACATTTTTCCTCAGATATTTCTTGATTATCCCTGCAACCCTGGAAAAAGGAAAAGTAATCCTTCATCTTATGGGACAACTGATAGTCCTAGAAGCAGGAGCAGCAAGTGCAACGCTACACAACCAGAAAGAGACGAAGCCAGAACTGAAACTCAGCCCTTCTAATTGCTTCTCTCCAGTGTTCCAGCTCAAGCCACTCCTAGGCAGAAATTCCTTCTGGTCAGTGGTTTCAGAAGTTGGGAAATGGATTTTAGCTTTTGGTTCCTGACCTGGACTAACTTTGATTAGTTGAAATGAAGTCTTTTGAACTTCAAATGCACTACTCTATAAATGGGTGCCCCTCCTTTGCAACTACTCTGAGTCCCACATAGACTCCATCATTGCCTGTGACACTTGAATGTACCTGCTTATTTCCATGTCCCACCTTCTACTAGCCTGAGAACCCTCTGAGAGCAGAGACACTATCTTACCCATCCTGTGGCCCCAGTGTCTACACACAAACGCCTGCCATAAATGACTTCATAGTATTATACAAGTCACTCATTTATTTAGATTTCTGTTTTCCTGTCTATAAAATGAAGGAGTAGTAGGAGGAGCAATCACTCTCTAAGGTTCTTCCAGCATTAAAGTTGTTGGATTTCTTGAGAATTATGTTTCCTCTACCTATCAAAATCTCACTCACCTTCCAGTGACAGGTCAGCTCCTACCTGCTCTCAGAGAACTTCTCTAAACCCCGACAGGTCTTTGGAGTGAAAGCAGTGACTATCTGAGCCATTCAACAGACTTTAACTCACACCACCTCATTCTATTACCTTTTTCCTGAGTACTTGTACCTTGTTTCCGCACATTAGATTGCGTCGCTTATTGCCACAACTCTATTGTAGCTTCAGAGCAGAAGCCATGCATTACCCTTCTATTTTACCTCCCTATGTGCTAATTTCAGCCTTGGGTTCATGAATGGGAATCAAGAGAGTTGGGTCCTACCCCTAGCTTCTTCGTTGACTCTCTATGTGACCTTGGACAAGCCACTAGACCCCTGACCCTCAGTTTCCTTTAGTGTAAAATGGGACTAACACAACCTGTCTCTAAGATTATTGTGAGAATCAATTTAAATAACAAGTAAAAGCACTTTGTTAATTATAATAATCTTACAAAGGATTGAGCAGTGTAATTGGTACTCTGGCATGGCTGTTATTGAGTACCAATTGCACTATGGTACTAAGGACTATGGAAGAATAAAAACAGCATGCATGTATTCATTTGTTCAAAAAAGCATTCCAAGCACTAAAATAGATTCCAGATGAAAATACAGGTGAACAAGACATGGCCCCTACCCTGAAAGGCTTCACTGACTATAGGAACCTCCTAGTGAAAACAGATCTGAATTTAGTCAGAGACTTGGGCTTGAATCTCAGTTCTGTCACTTACAAGTTGTGTGACCTTGGGTCAAGTCATTTTTACCTCTCTGAAACCCAGGTTCCTTACATTTATGAGAGGGGTGAACCAGGCCATCCCTTCTAGCTCTAAGAGTCTAGGATTTTATAAGCATAAGAAAATTCATGTCATCTTTTCAAACTCTAGTAGATCTGGGGTAGTGGAGAAGGATACATGATTAACTTCTGAGTGGCGGCTGTCACGCATAGGAAACAGAAAAGTGCACCATGCCTTAAGTGGAAGGCACTGTCCTCAAATAACACATCTCATAAGCACCACCGGGCCCTGGCCTGCCTGTGTCCTTTATCGAGGCCGTGAGGCAGAGGCTGTTTCAGAACCATGGATAGCTCCATGGTGCTGCCCCCAAGGCCGGGAGCCTAAACAGGCCTTTCCACCACCAACCAGATGTTCCTGTTTCCTCAGCCAGCTTAAGGCTAAAACAAACCTTTTCAACCAGGGTTTATCAGAGTTTCTAAATTACATACTGGGAAGAAATTTAATTGGTTTAATTAAGAAAGTTTATTTCATGGTAATTCAGTTTTGTTATGCTGCAAGACTTAATGTGTCCTCTGGTAGGAGCGTCTGTTATAAATATTCATTGCCTCACTCAAATACCCTCTCCTGACCCTAATCTCCCTCCCTTACCCCATAGAGTTTGAAAATGTGTCTGAAGAATATTGAGGAAAGTGAGGCCTTCCTGAGCAAGGACACCAGTCCTGGACAAGGTCAACTGAATTCAGTGTGGAAGGCATAGAAGGTTGGAGTTAAAGGGGCTTTACAGCTATAGTGTGCTGCTCCTGCATCTTATAGATAGGGAACTTGGGCTTAGAAGGGAAAGGAGAAAGGGTAGGTAACACACTTAGTCAACGGCAGAGCTGGACATAGGGACCAAATCTCCTGATTTCCAATCCACTGCTTTTGTCTCACAAATTCTAAAGTTAAACTATTTTAAAACTAACTCTAGAGATCATCTGGTCAACTTTCTTATACACAGAAGAAAAAACTAAGGCCTAAACAGGAAGCTAACTTGTCCTAAGCCACATACAAACCCATCTACCTCCCTTCCTCTGCAGGATTCCCAAGCCCTGAGAATCATGCAACTTCTGCTGGATTACCCTCAGTGAAAAACATTTCAGTATTACATTTGTGCACCTAATGCTGGTCATTAGGGGATGAAATTGAGATTTGACATTACTTTTCCCTGAAGGAGTTTACGGTCTAGTTGGGGAAAGGAGATAAAATGAGAATAAGAGACATAAATGATAATGATGGGCTGAGCTCCGTGGCTCACGTATGTAATCCCAACACTTTGGGAGGCCATTGTGGGTGGATCACTTGAGGCCAGGAATTTGAGACCAGCCTGGCAAACATGGTAAAACCCCATCTCTACTAAAAATACTAAAATTAGCTGGGTGTGCTAGTGCACACCTGTAATCCCAGCTATTCAGGAGGCTGAAACATGAGAATCACTTGAACCTAGTAGACAGAGATTGCAGTGAGCCGAGATCACACCACTGCACTCCAGCCTGGGCAACAGAGTGAGACCCTGTCTCAAAAAATAAAATAAAAATAAATTATAACAATGAACACCCCTTATGCATTGCTCAAACTACTCACAGTTTCTCTAGTGTGCCCTGATCTCTCCTGCATCTGTGCATTTGCACATGGACACCATTCCCCAATGCAGCTGCTTTGTCAACCCCAACTCATTCTTCAAGACCCTGGAAAACCTTTCCAACCTCTCTCCTGACACACACAACCATGACTGTCTTTCTCTCCTGCGTGCCCCACTCTCCTCTACCATCCTTTCTCATAGCATTTATCACGCTGAACAGTTACTTTTTTCACTTGTCTGTCTCCCCACGAGGGTAAGCTCCTTGGAATCACCAGTGCCAAGAGCACTGTCTGGCAAAGACTAGAAGTTCAGCAAATAGTAGCTAAATGGATGAGTATGAAACTGATTTAATGTGGAGTTTCAGCTCACTGGGTTATAAACCCAGAATAGTTTTATTTTTCCAATAATTGCTACCAACTGTGCTCTGTTGAACCCTCCCTTTTCCTGCTGGGTAGCAGACTGCCTTAACAAACTCAATCTGAGGCCATAACTTTTCAGTCACTTCCACTTACTAGAACAGTTTTACTGGGTTCTTTAGGATTCAATCCTATTTAATTATATTTTGTATTCTTACGTTTGATTCAAAGCTCTTCCTACCCAGCCCCTCTTATTCCCTGCCTCCTCCCCTCACCATCCCTAATCCAGTTCCAGCATCTGCTCCCACTCACCTCCTCCCTCTTCCACTGCTCTGGCATTGGGGTGTGAGGAGAGAGACAGGAGGTAGCAGACTTCTGGTGTAACAGCTCACAGTGAGACAGTCCTCTCCTAATTGTACCCTAGCTGCTGACCTGATTTTTTGTCTGTGGGCTCCTTACAGGTGCAGGGGAGACCCCCATAAACCCTACTGATGGGTGCCCTCCCTGACCAGCTTACTATGCAGTGCCAATCCCAACTGAGATTTGCCTTATCATTGACTGACACTCACTGTCATAGTCTCACAAACCCAGTGCCCTGATGCCCCTCACTGTACAAGGTCTCTAATCTCATCCAATCTCTGTGAGGAAGAAAGTCTTTGCCCCTTTTGTCTGGCTAAACCACCACCCTTTTCTCTCTATGCTCTTCGTTTGCTATGGCATAACAAGGCCAGGTAGTTAA